>NC_000004.12:81497138-81648653 GCF_000001405.40 Homo sapiens
GCCTCTTGAGTAGCTGGGATTACAGGTACTTACCATCATGCCCAGCTAATTTTTGTATTTTTTAGTAGCGATGGGATTTCACAGTGTTGGCCAGGCTGGTCTCGAACTCCTGGCCTCAGGTGATCTGCTCACTTCAGCCTCCCAAAGTGCTGGGATTACAGGTGTGGACCACCATGCTCGGCCTTAGGGTTCTTGAGTTAACATTACTAAACCTTAATTCCCACCTATGAAATAAGGGTAATGGATTGTCCTAAAGTCTTAGTAACATAATAAATGCAAAGAGGTTATCCCAGCACTCTGTATTTAATAAATGATAGTTATTGGCTTTGTGATATTATTTTTCTCTTTGCCCCTTGACAGGTATCCAATTAGAGAACAGGATACAAGGAACATGAAAACTGAGCATAACAGCCATCATAACATTAGAAAGGATGGGAGCAGGAAGAAAATATTTTAAAAACACTATGGATTTTAATTTGTAAAAAACAGAGTGATTCCAGTGGATTTAAAATTTTTAATAGAGTTAGTAAAATAAGCAGTAACCAAGTGGGAAAATAAATGCACATGGGAAATTTAATTATTCGTTAATGTTTTTCTGGCATTTCCAGAATTTTGCCTTGATATTGATTGTGTCTATGGAGAGCATGTTTTTCTGTGTTTTTAAGTATTTCTTTCAGTGTTATTCCTGGATTGACTGATTAATATGCTCTGACTTTTACCTACAGCTTAATATTGCAGCACGTAGGAGAAAAGGTTAGGTCGTCTGTAGTTGGTGTAAAGGCCAGTGGAGGTGGGCATTGAGAAGCTATAGCTCTAAGGAAGAAAGATATTTCAGAGCTAATATGTGGATCACAGAGGGTTTCCAACCTGATTGTTCTCTGCTTCAGCTTAGCGAGAACAAGATGGAAAGCCCTTTGTATCTTCATAAAAACTTATTTACTCCTTCCTGAAATGTGAGGTATCTCTGGAAGAATTTCCCTGGGGATAGGTTAAGTCCTGCTACATTTTTCTCCCAGAAATTTGCTTATCTTCCCTTGGGGAGAGCACTTCAAAGGTACAGAGGACACTTCAAAAAGCCCAGAGCCTCATCCATGACTGGTGTAAACTGATTGAGGTATGCACCCTGCAAATTCCATGAGTACGCAGGCAGGCCAGCAGGTAGGCGGGATGCTCCTGGGGAAAGGGCTGTGCTGATGTGGACCTGAGCACATTCTTATCCAGAATCCAAACTCCACCTCTCTTGATCTAGGGGAGAAGAGAGGAACTGTGGATGGAAGAGCAGTAGAGAGTGGGGGCATGGGAATCTATCCAGGCCACATCTGGACTTTAGCTATTATCCCCTATTTCACCCAGCTGGTTTTGTCCCCACAGAGACAATCACTGCAGTGGCATCTTTCAGGAGTCTGGTTGACTCGGGTACTCTGTAAAAAAGTTCCCTGTCCTTGATTCTTGTACTCTTGAGCACCATCAGCTCTGGAGTTTCCATCAGTAAAATAGTTGCTTTTCTTTGACTGGTCAGTCTAAAGCTAACTAACAAATGTGACTCACATCCCCTCTTTTATTCCTTCTGGGATAAATTCTGAAATATGAAAGGGAGCTATGTTACCATGCAAGTGTGACATTAAGTAATGACAGCCCTAAAAAAATCACCATTAACTATGAATGGAATTGCCATATTCTCTCTAAATGCAAGGGTGTTTTTCTCATCATCAGGGATGAGCACTAGAGATGTCTCATGTTTCCAGGGTGATTCTGAGGGGCTGACTTTTCACTTAAAAGGTAAGCTTCATAACTATGATCACATCTTTTCCCATGTAATTAGACAATTGCATCTGACTACTGACTAATGACAACAGTATTTTTGCTCCCTCCTCTTCCAAGCACACCCACAGACCCACAGACTCCAACTTAAGGATAGTTCAACTTCAAAGTTTTCAAATTTACAATGGGTTTGTCAGAAAGTATCAATGTATTTTCTGTTTATGATATTTTTTACTTATGATGGGTTAATTGAGATGTAACCCCATTATAAGCTCCTGAGGAGGCTCTCCCTGGAGGGATGAGGTGGAGAGTATAAAGACCAGTAAAATAAAAGAGACAGGAATAGAACTTTCCAGGCATAAGGAGGTAATAAATAGAATCACCATGGCAAATCCGGAACAACTAAGAGAGGCTTTTAAAGGCAAGATTGCCTTCTCCAGAAGCTCATTCTTCAAGTCCCCTCCCCATGCAAGCAAAGAAAGGCATGCGCTGTGAAAGTTGCATGGGTGAGATACTACTTCATTCAAATTCTTCATCTTAAAACTGCACAGCAAAGAAGATGTCTTTCCCTGCCTAGAATTTAAAAAATGTGTTTTAAAAATATATTTCCTGTGTACATTTAGTCACTGCATTATTGATCACACCTAGCACATAGTAGGTAGGTAAAGGGTTGTTGGATGACATATATAACGTATGGAACACCCTATGCGTTGCTAATTCCTGCTACCATCTCAGAAAAGAGCTTGAATTTTTTGTCAGTTTCAAGCAACGAAAGCCCCTTGTCACGCAGCTCTTGTGTTTAAGGTCTCCACAAATAGGAAATACCTTCTTGTTTATTTCTTGACCTGTGTGTGACTGTTGTATCTGAAGTTTAGCTCCAGAAATAAAAGAAAAAAAAATCCACAAACAATTTTTTTAAAGACTCTCCCTCAATGCTGTTTGCTGCCACCCTTTTTTTTTTTCCCTTGGCTTCCTTCTTTCAGCATGACATCCTCTCAAACGCTACCTGACAGACTGCTGCAATCACCCTGTGAATGTAAGTAATTTCCTTATTGACAGCCTCCCATTCTCTCTGACATCTGCCAGCACTCCCTGACACTTGAATAAGCATTAAGACATTAACAGTCTGGCACAGGTTTAAGGGCTGGAATAGTAATGCTTGGCAGGCCTGCTGCACAAAGCCACATGCAAAGAGACCCCCACTCATTCAACTCTGCTGTCCTTCTGGTTGGAAAATGTGGCAGAGCCCACAGTAAATGCCGATTATTCGCTTGATTGCTCTGGCATTTCAGTGTCTCCTTAGACAGGCCAGATCATACATTAAAGGAAAAGAAAAGGAAAACACGAAAACGCCTGCTTGTGAGGCAGTGTGAGAAGTGAATGTCAATAAAAAGGCAGGTCTTTGCTCAGTGAGATGAGTTCATATTTTATTTATCTTATTTTAGTTATTGATTTATTTTTTTTGAGATGTAGTCTTGCTCTGTCATCCAGGCTGGGGTGCAGTGGCGCATCTTGGCTCATTGCAACCTCCACCTCCCAGGTTCAAGTGATTTTCCTGCCTCAGCCTCCCGAGTAGCTGGGATTACAGGCACCTGCCACCACATCTGGCTAATTTTTGTATTAGTAGTAGAGACGGGGTTCACCATGTTGGCCAGGCTGGCCTGGAACCCCTGACCTCAAGCAGTCTGCCTGCCTCAGCCTCCCAAAGTGCTAGGATTACAGGCATGAGCCACTGTGCCCGGCCAATATTTTAAAGGGATTGACTTCGAATAGAAGCAAAGTTAAGCTCCCCTAGCATTACAGAACAATTTGCATCATACTTTTTCTTCTGAGAATATCAGATTCTTTCCAAATACTGGCTGGCAAATGCCATCTTTGTGCCATGAATTTCTGAAAGCCAATTTGTGGATCTATACACAGAAAATTATTAGGAAAGAACACCATAGTAGTCTTTGTTGCTAGAATCTGTTCACTGAGCAATGGCAAAGCTATTAACATGCTTGATATTAACCTGCTAAGTGAGTCAGAGAGCTGCTTCCATTCTGTTTTAAGCAGAGCTTGTTTTGGATCAGAAACCTGTAATCTACACAGGTAATGCTGAAGTTAACATCAAAATAAGAGGGACAGAGCTGTTTCTGTGAATGCCACACATTTTCTTGAGTGAAATATGAGTCAATATGACTGCACTTGGGAAACAAAAGAAGAATTAAAATAGGTCTAACAGAAGGTCAAGGTAGTCTGATGAAAGGGTCAGGAAGATGTTTCCTTTGGGCATATTCTGTGGCTCATGAATCTCCTGACATCTTCTGGGGCTAAGAGCCCACATCTTTCTCATTCCTCCATCTGGGCACTGTTAGGACTAGGGGGTGTCACAGAAAACGGTTGCTAGTTGCACAGTGATTCCTTCTGCAGATTGTCTTCATTTCCTTGTTGATTGGTTTGAACCTGGGGTCATTATCTCTGCTTTGCAAATGAAGAAGAGAAAGAAGCTCAAAAAGGACAAGAAACTTTCCCCAAATCGAACAGGTAGTAAGTGATAAAGGCCTAAAATGAACCTGGGTCTTGACTCCTGGGTTGGTGTGTTTCAATCATGTTAACTCCCAGCCCCAGGAAGCTTGGTGAATATTACCAGAGATAGGACATAGCAAATCTGGAAGGACAATGACTACCTGACCAGGGCCAAAAGAGCCGACTGTCTATGACCGTGATTATGCTAACTAATAAGTATCTGAGCAGAAACAGCAAAATCTGTTCTAATCTACCAAAAGAGGCTGCTGAGATGGGCAGGGTGGCTCCCTTCAGACTGAACTCATTCCTTCACAAGCACGCAGGAGAATCAGGGCCAGCCAAGTGGTGCCTGTGGGAGGCGTTTGAGGATGGGTGGCCAGGGAAAGTGAGAGTTTTTAAACTAAATCAAGTGGCTCTTCTGGGTTTGCTCCGAACCTTGAATGTTTTAAGAGTATGGGCTTTGGAGTCGGGGGACCTGAGTTCTGCACCTCACTAGCTGCTTAGGCTGGGCTAAGTTTAGTTAACTAAATCTCATTCTCTTCATTTGTAAAATAGTAATGACAACCATATCTTCCTCAAAGGCTTGTCGTGACAAACTGAGATGAGGTTTGTCAAGTGTTCAGCACAGAAAATGCTCAACATCTCCCTCTGGATGTCCAGCAGTTACTTCAAATGCATCCCCCAAGGCAGTTCATCTTCCATGTAACTATAATAATCACAGTAAAAAGCTACTGGGAGCTGTCTGTGTTCTGTGATTTACACTTATTATCTTATTTAATCCTGCAGTTAGGAATTATTTTTTACTTTTACAGATGGGGTAACTGAAGCTCAGAGAGATTGACCAACCTGCCCAAAGTTTCACAGCTGTTAAATGTCAGACCAGACTTTGAAGCTAGGGTCATCTGATGCCAAAGCCCACTCTGGGCTAAACCACCTTGCCCTTACCAGAGATGAGTACACAGGAACTTTGATTTTCTTTTTTCCCTTGGTTTCACATTCACACAATGAGGAATTCTTCCCCTGCTGTTCTATCTCATGGGGATCTTTTACATCTTGTCCAACCTTTGCATTCACTCTGCCTACCTGACTTCAGGACCAGTTTTGCATCTGCTGGACACCGTGAACTGCTTCTGCATGGCATAAACTGCTTTCTGAATGCCCCTTCCTCCACCCAAGTCCTTTTTCTAGTTCACCTCCACCTACCGTAGTGCTGCCCGATTAACCCCCTAAAGGCTAGCTTTCATCATGTCTCTGCAGAAAACTTTCAATGACTCCCCACTGTCTGCTGCCTACTAGTTAGCCTGGCAGTCAAGGTCTGGTTCCTCCACAAATGCACAACTTAGCTTTTCAGTTCTCACTACTTCTTTTATATACTCAGCAGAATGCAGATGCCATGACGACAGAAATGTGTACCCTTTCTTCACTGCAACATCCCCAACACCTAGAATAAGGCCCTGTTTATACTAAGTGCTCATTAAATATTTGTTGAAGTATGAACTGAATGATTTTTTTGCAGCCAAAATTATTGTATTTTCTTCCCACCGTGTTTTACTGTAAAGACATTGAAAGACATGAAATCTGCTTTCTTTTTTTGAAGCTGCTGGTATATTTTTTAGAAATGAAGAAAAGCCAAAACAAGATTTGAAAAATTTGATATATTTTCAAAGGTAACATTTATCAAATTAATGCTTTTAGTGTCTACAAAACACAATGTCACATAATTGTGCTATTCAAAGATAATTACAGGGTCTATAAAAATACTCATTCCTAGTCATCACAGGCAGTGTGATCCAGTACTGGAATAGTTTAAAATAGGGTGACATAGGACGTCTTTAGCATTGCCAATGTATGCATTACTGAGTCAGGGTATAAACTTTTCTGTGGGCCCTCCTGAATGTGGCCTGGAACTAATGGTTCTGTGGCCCCACCACATGTCCTCACGCCCTATATTCATGCATTCCTCTCCTTCCCTTCCATCTGCCCACCTTCATACTCCATCTATCCTTCAAAGACAACTAAATGTCTCTCTCCCATCTTTTTCTAGAGCTCCTTCACCAGAATAATTTGCTTATTCTTCTGGCTTTCCCATAGCAATTTAATTGTAGGTTCATATGTGTTTATGATTTATTATTTTAGTTATATAAATTTTCACTAGGTTCATGGGAACAGAACCCATCATCTATTTCTGATGTATCTTTGTACCCACTCTCTGCCTACTGCTTTGTATCACGTCATGTCCACAGATGCTCAATATATATTTTTGAATAAATAAATGAATGTGGCAATGTAGGTAAAAATAACAGATGGCTGAAGTCTCGGCATTAGGCATTTGGCTGACTTTACCAGTTGGCGGAGGGAGTAGGGGAGAAGGGAACTGTGTCTGACAGAGGGTTAGCAGATGAGAGGCAGCAAATCTTGAAAAGCAGCATGGCCTGCTGATTAAGGATCAGTCTTCAGGCTGACTGCTTGGGTTCAGATACTAGCTCTGTCTCTCATTTGTTGTATAAGCTTTAGATAACAGATGATAGTTTTACGTACCTAATAGGTTTTGTTGTGAAGATCAGATGAGCTTATAAATGTTAAGTGGTGATTCTTATTGTGGTAGATTGCAATATTGTTTCAAATATTTTGCTACCTTTCATGTTAAAACACACACACACAGACACACACAGACACACACACACACAAAAGACACACACAGGCACACACAGACACACACACACAGACAGACACAGACACACACCCACACAGACACACACACAGACACACACACACACAGACACACACACAGACACACACACACAGACACACACAGACACAGACACACAGACACACACACAGACACAAACACACAGACACAGACACACACAGACACACACAGACACACACACAGACACACACGCAGACGCACACACACACTGACACACACAGACACACACAGACACACACACACACAGACACACACACAGAGACACACACACACACACACAGACACACATCTGTCTTAGCTGCTGTTCTGGCTGCTATAGCAAATTGCCATAGACTGGATGGCTTAAAAAACAAACATTTATTTTTTAAACTTCTGGAAGCTGGAAGTCTGAGATCATGATGCCAGCATACTTGGGTTCTGGCGAGGGCCCTCTTCTGTCCTTGTGTCCTCATATGGCAGAGACAGGATGACTTCTCCTTGTGTCCTCATGGCAGAGAGAGGATGAGAGAGATCTCTTGGGTCTCTTTAATAAGAGCACTAATCCCATTCACGAAGCCCCCACCCCCATGACCTGATCAACTCCCAAAGGTCCCACCTTCTAATACTATCACATTAGGGATTAGGATTTTAACCTATGAATTCTGAGGGAACAGAAATATTTAGTCTGCTAGTCTGCTGCATTATCCCTGGCTACTGTCATGTGACTTGCTGTGTTCCTTTCATTGACATCAGGCTTGGCCATGTGACTTGCCGTGATCAGTGGCATTTGAGTGGAAATGACATATGCCCTGACTGAGCAAAGGCTTTCTGGGCCATTGCGCCCTTTTCTGTCTGCCACAAGAATGACATATCTCAAATAGGGTCTTCTCATTCACCCTGATCCTGCACTGAAGAAGCCATTTGGAGGAGTCTCACCCATCACAACCACCTACAACCTCTGTTATTGTAAACTACTAAGATTTGGGGGTTATTGCTGTAACACAGCCTGGTGAAAGCTGACTAATAGCCCAGTGTAAGGAAGTACTCAATCCATGTAAAGCCCTTAGAACAGTTCCTGGAACATAATAAGGGCAAAACAATGATTATCATAGTCGATGCACTGACTTTTGATACACTTCCTAATTTGCACTTACTTGTCTGAAATTAAAAGCCTCATCCTTGGAGTCTTCCAAATATTCTGTCACAGACAATCATCTGACTAAGAGTTGGAAGGCGTGGGTTCCGGTTCTGACTCTGCCCTGTGACGGCGCTCACGGGACATGTTCTTTCTGTTTCCTCACAGATAATTGTCAAAGTTCCTTCTAGTTCAAAGAAGTTTCTGAGTCTGCAGACAAGCAGCTGTTGGAACCGTCCACATCAGGAAACAAGTGTTAGCTCTACCAGTCACAAAGCTGGGTGATTTGTGCACCTTAGCTTCTCCGTCCTTTTCTTCCTTCAGAGGTTTATGTGAGGCTTTAGCCATTGCCAGTTTTCAAAGAAATGGCATTTTTATAGGCTCCTGCAGCAAGACAATGTTTGTTTTTTTTCCCATTAAGTTGGGGCGCAAAACTCTTAGCCAGAGGAAAAAGTGGTTCCCTAAAAAAGTGAAATTCATGCTTTACAGGGGTTATGAAAAAATCTTTGGCTAACCAAGTATTCTCTAGCATAAAAGTACCAAAACCAACCAAGCAACCAAACAAAAAGCCGGGTACAATCAGAGAAGAAAGCAAGGCTGCCATGGTGAGCAGAGCTCTGGCCTGAGAACCAAAGCCCTGGGTCCCAGCCTGTTTCTGCAGTTAGTCGGCCAGGTGACCTTGGGTAATCACTCATTTCTTTCTATATGTAATAATAAAGGATCTCCAGACTCCTGTCTAGCACTAGCTAATATTTCATCACTATGACTCCATCAGAGTTAACTGACAGGGTTGTTTTTTACAGGCTTTAAGTGGCAGTTCTCTTAATTTGCAGAGTAGGGGAAATATAATAAAGAGGGAAATGTTTACAGGGGAGCCCAGCCCACACTAATCTTCTGAATTGGTAATAAATTTTGATCCTAAAGGAGGAATAAAAGAAAGAACTAGATTTATAATCATTTAACAAGCAAACATTATATGATTTATCAGAAGAACAGGTAGTCTAGTATCTAGTATCTTTTCCTGCCCATCCTCGGGGATTTTCTGTTTCAACTAAGGAGAGCTGATCTCTGCCATATTTCTCCCAGTTCTGTTGCAATGTATCCAAGGCAGGGCTGAGATCAGCCAGAGGTCTGCCAAATAGAGTGTAGGTACCAAAGTTTGCCCATGGATTGATGTATCATTGGTTTCAAAAACCAGGTCCTCCTCCCATCCCAGCACCTTGGGATGACAGGTGCCTGCTGTTCCCAAGTCTCTGGCTTCAGCAGAAGAGACAAAGAGTCCAGCTTCCAGGCCCCTCCTTTTCCTAGATTCCCACCATCATCCTTCCTCAGCCTGGCCCACTCTTGCATGTGAGCAGAGATGGCTCCAAGATTGGCTTTGGTAAATATACAATCTAAATAAGAACATAAGCTTCAATACAGGTTCCTAGGGAGCCCCTACCCCACTTTAAGAACATATTATCTTTACCACATAGAGATTCTATGATGGTCAGAACTTGTGAAAGCCCACCCCCAGCCTCAGAAGGGCATGCCAGAAGAATGGGTCATGAAGGTGCCCTGTTCGAATCTCCCTGTGGGAGGGCCTATTGTGTGGGGCATAGTTGATTCATAGTCTTCAGCTGTTGTACCTTGGATTGACTGCAGCGTTCACTTCCAGGTCACACTTCCCCAGGCTGCCCCAGTCAATGACTGAGTACAGTGGTGGGTGCTAGAGCTGGGCCATTCCTGCCTAAAGGGGGATTCCTCAAATGGGTGCCTTTGGTTCAGGGACTCTCCATCAGGCTGGCCACAACTCTCAGAACTGCACTTTGGTCTGAAGCACTTTCTACTCAATCCTTTCTTCTGTTTCTCCTTTCATAGGTCTCAGAGCTGCATCATGGGCTGCAGGCTTCCTCCACCTCCTCCAGCTCCCTCCACTTTGTCCTTTATCTTTCACAGGCTCTTCTCTTAGTAAACCACTTGCACTTCTAATTCCAGTTGGCATCTGTCTCTTACAGAAGCAGGGTATGATGCTTTTAAGTCTGTATGCCTGGCCCACTGTATTAGCCAGGGTTCAGAGAAACAGAAGCAATATGATATATCTGTATATGTAGATATAGCCTATAGATATATAGATATATCTATATGTGCAGATATGTAGATATAGCCTATCAGTCTACAGGATATACATATAGACATACATATAGACACACACACACACACACACACACACACACACATACACACACTATAAGGAATTGGATCATGCAATTACAAAAGCTGAAAACTCCCTAGATCTGTATTCAGTAAGCTGGAGACCCAGGAGGGCCAATGTGTAGTTCCGGTCCAAAAGCCACCAGGCTCAAGACCCAAAAGGAGCTTGTGTTTCAGTCCAATTCTGAAAGTCAGAAGGGACTAATGTTCCAGCTCAAGGCAGTAGGTGAGAGGAGTTCCCTCCCACTCCTGGGAGGGTCAGCCCTTTTGTTCTAGTCAGGCCTTCAACTGATTAAATGAGGCCCACCCACAACAGGGAGGGCAATCTGATTCCCTCAGTCTATCAATCAGTTCAAATGTTAATCTCATCCCCAAACACTCACAGACCCATCCAGAATAATGCTTGGCCAGAAATCTGGGAAACCATGCCCCATTCAAGGTAATGCAGAAAATTAATCATCACACTCACCTAGTGCAGCAGTTAATCAGTTAAATCACTTCTGCTGAAGTCATGCATACCAGTCAAGTTCTCATACTGCAAGAGGCATTTATGTTTACATCTGTCTCTAAAAAGTCTGTGAATGCCTGGAAGGTGGGAATCATGTCTTATTCATTTTTAGATCCTAAATACAGAGTGGAAGTTCAATAACTTATATTTATTGAGTTTCTCCTATGTGCCATGCACAAGGTGCTAGGGGTATAGCAATAAATGAAACAGGCCAGGTCCTTGTCCTCAGAGACCTACATTTAGGTAACAGAGAGAAACAAAAATAAAACAATTGAACATACAATATAATGGACTGGTGATACGTGTGACAAGAGGAGAATAAAGCCTGGCAAGGGGATAGAAAAGAATAGAGAAGTATCATTTTACATAGGTGTTCAGAGAAGGCTTGAATGAATAACTGAATAGATGACAGAAATTATTAATGCAGGTATCAGCAAAGTTGTTCAAGTGTGTTGGGGTAAGCAGAATTCAGAGGCACACAGAACAGAAGAAAGGCCTCCTCCCCACACCAGGGAATCAGCTCAACTAAATTGTTACTTCTCCCAGCTGTGGCTTTATACTGTTCTTCTTTGCCTTCCTCACTTCTATTTTAACAACTTTTTTTTCTTTTTAACAGAGTGGGCACAGAGTGCCTTTTTAAAGGGACTTCCTTACTGCAGTAAGTTTTAAGTCAATGTTATTGCTACACTGACCTTCTTCAACATGAGGGCTTAGGGCCAGTTTCCACTTCTGAAGAAATTCCTCTAAAAGTAGTACTCTGGAGACACTTCAGTAAATGAAGATAGACTTGGCAAAGAAATTCCAAGCCTACAGGCAGATAATTAAGAGAGATTTTCAAAGCCGAGGGGGAAATCAAAGACCATTATGTATGTATGGTTTGCACTAAACCACTTTTATTACAAATTGAGCTCCATACAGCTGTGCAGCAATTGAAGAGGAGACTATACAGCCAGTGAAGGAATGACAGCCATGTGGATGCCAATTTTCTAGTAGTAGCCTACAGAAGCCACACGTAAGTTAGGTTTCACAGCTTGTCATGAGTAATTTCAAAAACCAAAGTAGATGATGTTATTACAGGTCTAAGAAGAAAATGATGATGTAGCAAATGAGGGGGAAAAAAATCAAAATTTCCCATTCCCTCTTAGACCTCCCTACTCAATTCCTTCCTCTCAACAGGGATGTGGTAAAATGAATAAGATTTTGTGTAGAGCCATCTGAAGTGTTTGAGAGGTTTAGTGGAAGAGTCTGGGCTTCGGAACCAGGCAATAGAAATACAATTTATTTCACCCACTTATGAGCTGTGTAGTCCCAGGCAAGTTATTGAGTCTCTCAAGCTCCACTTCTCTTGACTATAAAATACCTACTGGAGTTGTCATGGTGATCACGTGAGACAGGGCAAGAAAAGTGCCTGGCACAGATAGGTGCTCAATGAACAATTTGTTTTCTTGGGAAGGAAGTTACTTAAGAAATCCAAATTAGCATTTGTCACAGTTTCTCATCAAGAACAGGGATTACAAAATCAAGTATCTCTGGTAAGCCTAGTAAGCCTACAGAAGAATTTGTGGTTTGTATTGGGAGGAAACAACTGTGGCAAACTGGAGGGCCCGTATCTACCCAAAGACGGCAACTAAAGGATTTATGCCTGATAAAAGGGGATCCCATCTCTCCTTTGAAAGGTGGCTACTGGAAGCCTTGCCTCATAGAGAGGGGACAGTTGCTGCTAGCTCCTCTCTGGGGATAGTACAGACCCCATACTGGGAGATTTTTTTTAAAAAAGAATCTCCAAATCCATATTTCTATGTGAAACTTCCAGGTCACATACAGTGGTTCCTAATTCAATTAATAAAAAACATGTAACTGAGCATGGTGGCTCTCTCCTGTAATCCCAGGGCTTTGGGAGGCTGAGGTGGGATAATCAGTTGAGGCCAGGAGTTCAAGAACACCCTGGGTAACATAGCAAGACCCTATCTGTAAAAAGAAAAAAAAAATAGCTGGATGTGGTTGTGCATGCCCGTAGTCCCAGCTGCTGGCGAGGCTGAGGTAGGAGGCTCACTTGTGCCCACGAAGTCGAGCTGTGACCACACCACTGCACTCCAGCCCGGGTGACAGAACGAAACCCTGTCTAAAAAAAAAAAAGAAAAAAGAAAAAAAAAACAAAAACAGGCAGACCACAAAAGTATCTGGGCAGGCATGATGTGGCCTATGGGCTACCAGTTTGCAACTTCTGGAAAAGGAACATTTCGTGATTACATTTTCATTCATTGTATAATAAAATATTTTAGTTTAAAAATAATTCTTCAAATAATTCCACCAAGAGCAAAGAAGCCAACATACAAATAAATTTCTTCTTGTATATTTCTATTTCTAGGACATCAAGGACCCAAAATAAACTTTAAAACCTATGAAGGAGTTTGTTGGTATTTATTCCTCAGGGGTCAGCTGATTGCTGATGGGCAGAGAGTTCAATAGTAATGCATAGGAAAAGACAAATTGATCCCTGCTGATAAAGCTGTTTTCTGTGTATGTGCTCATAAAATGTGATGTCCCCACCCTGCCCCGGATTCTATTGGTAGCACAGAGGGGTCAAAGCATTAATGAATAGTCCATGAGATTGTTTCCTTCAGATTTTAAGAGAGAGGGCAGAAAGACCTTAGAAGAAATTATTTCATGTTTAGAAAAATCTTCCTATTGGCTCCAGATTAGCTTCACAATGACAAAGAATGTTCCAGAGAAGAGCTGACTGGAAACTATCAGTGGCTGAAAAGTATTAAGCCACCAATATTTTAATTAACTTGTTCCACTCCATTTCTGGGCTTACCACAGAGGAAGAAAAGAAATTGTATTTCAATATAAAAAGTCACAGTAAATGTTAAGCTCCATGTTTGATTGACAGTCACCCACACACCCACATACACTAAAACTAGCAGCTATAAATTTGAAGCATTTGTAAGACCCAGGGGATTTCTAGAGTGTGTGACAATCCAGATATATGTGCCTCGTTTACCCACAGAAGCGGTCTCCTGTGGGGGAAATGTACTGTGACATCCATTTTGATAGGTAACAGGCACATTAAGATGGAATTACCTCAGCTGGAATATGACTGTGATAACAGGAATAGAGAAACACTGGACCAGAAAAACTACGGGGCATCCTTAGGGAACATGCTCAGTTCCCTTAAAAACATGTACAGTCATTTGTTCAGAATTGGCTGGGGGGAGTTGAAATGATCAATACCTCTTCCCAAGGTATCCGTGTATTCTGCAGACATATCTTCGGCAAATAATTGCTCAAAATATAACTGTCCAAGCAGTATTTGGCAAGTATTGGATCTGAAGTCTGATTCACTTCATAAATTTGCAACCTTAGTGACATGCAACACAAGCTAATTCACTATTCTTCTGCTTATTTTTCCATATATCCAATACTGAATAGTAAACAAAGTCTGTAAAGAGGGGCCTGAAGATGTTCATATTTATACCTATTCTAGGCACAATAGGATTTCTTTCCTTCTTAAAATATTAGGATAGGAACCAACAATAAGGATATATGGAAAGGAACAAAAAAATTATTCTACCCAAATGATGTTTCAGGAATATGCTGTAATTTTTTTAATTCTCACTTATTACTGGCAAAAGGCATATTTTGGAAGTTGCAAAAGTCAGAACCTGAGACACATAAATGATAAAAAGGTGTTATTGGTAAAGTATACTGAGACCATTGAGAGGCAGGTACTAAAATAAAATAGCACTCCTGTGAAGCGACATACAAATAGAATTTCTATTTAAAAAACAAATCCTCAGTCACTTCCCTTGTTTGCCAGACTTTTACAAATCCTCAGTTACTTCCCTTGTTTGCCAGACTTTTTCTTTCTCATGACTCCCTGTCTCTAATGTTATAATGGCCCCAATAATTAAAGCATTTGACCTCAGGAATCTACCCATTTGGATGGTGAGTATATTTCAATTATTATATTGAATTAAACTTTAGTTTGAGAAAGGCTTTCTGGGAAAGATGAGTCAAATTTAAGTAAGTATAAATTGGTCTTTTGGCCACCATGTTTCTTGGGATTATAATGTTCCCAAGATATTTAATAATCTCATTTGGGTCAACACTGCAATTGACTTGAATGGCAGAACTCCAAGGGAAGGTGCTATGCTGGGTTGGGCACTTAATGATGCTGCAGCTGTGTTTTCCCTCGAGAGAGTGGTCCATTATGGAAATGGAATCTCCAGAGTGGGATTTAAGTAGGGGTAGTCAAGACAACACTTTGCAATGTCAGTGAAGATCTGATTGACCGTTTGGGTGGAAGACAGGACACACACTGTAGCTGGGATAGTGGTAACATCCATTTCAGTGCAGATTACTGCATTCTCTCAAATTCCTGCTGTCATTCCAATTAAAATCAATAGTCTTCTTTCTTACCAATTCTCTCAAATGTGTAGGTTGCTGCAACCTGCCAAGAATGTATTAGATTTCCTTAATAAAGATAGATACATCACAGCAGTGGGTTAAGTGATACGGCTAACAGTTAATTCTTGCTTCATTAAGCCAAACCAAATAATTCTCATTTAAATGAAGAAACCCATCCTGCTTCCCGGTAACTATTTGGTATTGAAGCAGCAATGAAAACTCAGGCCATGTAAGCTTCACTTCTCTTTAGGGACTCCTAGGGCATTTCCACTAGTACCCCATGGAGAATGATAAACATTCAAAACAAAGTGATACTTGTCCAAGGAAATGCATAAAATAAGCTTTGTGAAACCTCTTCCTAGAGTTTGTGTTTTTAAAAAAATGTGTGTGTTCACTCTCTTGTTCAATCATGAAAATGTGAGAATCCTCCATGGGCCTCCCAGACATTAGTATGAATTAGAAAATCCTACTGAATAATCTCCACAAATCATCTCGTGCAAAGTGCCTGGGCTTTACAGACTAAGTGCACATTATACATATAAATCATTATCACTTTGGGGTTGATTAGAAAAGGGCAGGTATTTTGCAGTCCCGGCAGTGTGTGTATGCCTGTAGCAACTGATTAGCTATTTCAAATTAATAGCTTGAAATTAAAACAAGCCTGGGGTTAGAATAAAGGGAAATGGTTTTTCTATGTAAGGAAAGCTTCAGCCTCCTCAGAAAGCCCCCCCCTCCTCCCCCTCCCCCTTTCCCTTCCTCTTATTATGCAGCCTCCGAATGATGTCTGTCAGCTAGAGGAATTACATGTGTATGACTTAGCATGTGAGTTTCCAGATCTCACAGGCAGGAGAAATGATGGGAATAACTGGAAACAACCAAGATGTCAATAAAATGTATTTTTCTGTAGTCATCCCACAAAAAGGCCTTGAAAGTTTCTCAGGGGGAGTTTTCCTCCTGTGAGACAGGATGAACCCTCCCTCCCTCTGCTATAGCTCAGGAGATGCGGTTGGCCTCCCCCCAGCATGCCCACTACACAACACAGGTGTCCCCCATTCAGTGAGAAACCAAAGAGAAAGAAAAAGCTTAACAGAGAAAAAGATATTAAACAAATACTCTGTTTCCAGGGCAGCTGGGGGCACAGGAACAGGGAGAATGGGTAATGTGGTTGAGGTTTATAGGTAGAAAAAGGAACTGGGTTTTAATGAAAAAATTTTTTTTAATTTGCTTTTTTGCCATTTTGCCTTCTTAGTATACTGGGCCTAGGTTTTGTTTTGGAAAGTATTAGAAATCAAACTTGCACTATCTTACTTTGTCTTCTAAAGTTAAGCAAGAGAGAAATGAAGAAAAACAATGTGGATCTTTGAAAGACCCTTTTCCAGGCAATAGAAAATATACTTTGATATTCTTGCTGCCTCTCCAAAAAGTCTGGGAGCCTGAAGTTTGTCTAAACTCAGGATTTCTTAGTTAACTAACCTGGGCAAGGTTTTTATTTCCCTACTGACTTCATTTCCCTGATGATTCCCCTTATGTTTCCATATTTTATTTGATAATGATAAGCTGTCTTCTATGCAATTTTAATTTTATTTTAAAAGAAAGATGATAATGCCATTTTATAGGCAAAACTAATTTTTTCATGAAATTACCCACTAAGAATGCATAGTAACATACTCCTCAGTCTTAAAGATTGCTACCATTGCAAAATATTGAGTAAAAAGAGGGGAAAAAAAGAAATGCTTTGACATCAAACATCTGTTTTCAGATTCCAGCTCTGCCACACACTAGCCATGTGGCACTGGGCAAGTAACTTAGCTTTTGTGAACATCTGCTTCTTCATCTCTAAAAGGTAAGGTTAATAATAAATGCTTGGCAGCATTTTGTGAGGATTACTTTAGATAACAAATACCCATCATGGCAGATAGTATGTATCCATTTCCTTCATTCTCTGCCTCCCAATTTGAAAGTGCTTTCTGGAGATTCAGTCTAATTGGTATCCACAGTCCAGTCAGCTCTGTGGTAGGCATTAGGAGAAATGACAAGGAAGCAAAAAACCAAACCTAGGTCTCAAAAGAACAGTCCTTTGTTTGAGCAGACAAGATGTATGAATAAAATGCAACTGGGAAGCAAGTAGAGCACATACAGACAAGTTATTAGATGTTATGGTATAAACAGCAGATGCCAAGAAAGATTATGGGAATGAGATGGGTTTTATTTAGGTTTTTTTGATACACAGAATTTTAATTGGCATAAGCAAAACAGACCACTTTAAAAACAAATAAACTCAGGAGACTTCTTTAACTGAAAGAATATAGGTTAAGATTTGAAGGTAGAAATGAACAGAGCATATGTCTTCAAGAAACTGACCTACTTGGAATAGAGAGCTTCATTGGGGAAAATGGCTCAAAAAGAGTATATTGGGACCAGTCAACAAAGAGCCTTGAAGATTATCCTAACTAATAACATCTGATTTATGAGCCCTTCAGAAAAAGAACGACAGCAGAATTTTGGAGAGGTTATTGCTATCTAGGATGGACTGGAGACAAATTTTGGGTCAGAAACTCTGCTAGGGTCATGTGCATGGAGGTGAGTTAAGCTGTTTTGTGCTACTTGGATGCTTCTTTCTACAGTGTATGTTTCAAGCCATAGGCTCATTGTTTCACCAATTTTTCTATATAGATGGTTTGATCCATGTTCACTAAACTCAGGAGAGACTGGCTTATAAAAGCTAATTTAATAATATAGAAAATTACACATAATTATTAAGAGTAATGGGGTGTACATATATTAGGGAATTTAGCCTATCTAGTTTCTGTAACAAGAAACCCTTCTGGAAAAGTAAACCAGTATCAGAAAGCTCATTAGTCATTCAAGTTTATTGGTCATTCATCAACTTATCAAATATTAACTAAGCACCTACTATGTGATAAACAGCATGGGGGCGCTGAGACCTGCAAGTGGTTTAGTGATGCTGAAGGGGGAAGGAGTGGCATTAGGGAGTGAGCAGAGGGGAGGGCAGGAGCCAGGACACAGAGGGCCACATATTTCCTGGTGAGGGAACTTGGACATGTTTCTCTTACTGACAACCAGTAGTGAAATGTCTTGGTACATTTAGAAAAAAAAAAATTATTTTAACTTTTTTTTTGGGGGGATAGGGTCTCACTCTGTCATTCAAGCAATTTTTCCACCTCAGCCTCCTGAGTAGCTGGAACTACAGGGATGCACCACCACACCTGGCTAATTTTTGTATTTTTTGGTAGAGATGGGTTTTCACCATGTTGGCCAGGCTGGTCTTGAATTCCTGACCTCAAGTGATCCGCCCATCTTGGCCTCCCAAAATGCTGGGATTACAGGCTTGAGCCACCGTGCCTGGCCTATTTTAACTTCTAAATATGTTACTATTTAACTTGATATAGTATTGACTAAATAGTCAGTATTTTATGCACCACAGAATACATGTGTTTGCCCCAATAATGCTACTGGTTTGAAATAAAAGTATATAGAAAACACATGAAAGTCAGATGTAACAACCTATAGGAAGCTAAGCGTTGGTTACAAAAATGAACTGAAGGCTGATATCACTAATATCCATAAGAGTCATTTATATAAATAAAATATTAGATTGTTATTTTTCAAATCAGGGAATAAATTAATTTCAAAATAGTAGGAAAAAAAGCATGAAATCAAATAAAATCATTATTGGGGAGAACCATCATCATAAAATTGAGTAAGCATATCTACTAGAGAGTTCTAAAATTAATACATTCCAAATTAAGCCTCATTACAAATTTGCAATTTAATTTTTTGATAGCTAACCCATTTACATGGCTCAAAATCAAAACAACGTGAAAAGTATAAATGGTGAAAAAAAGCTCCTACCCCTGTCCCCAGCCCTTTTGATACCATTTTATTAATTATTGCTGTACTATTCTGATCTTTGTGTATACCCCAAATAGGTTTTTGGTAAATATGAAATTTAATTCGGAATAAAAAAAAAAAAGAGAAGGAAGCAAATCAACACTCACTGGGCAACCACTACTTGCCAGACACCGTAAGGTGTTTTCCGATAAGTTAGGTTACTGATTCCTCATAGCAACTCTATAAGGTTGGTCTACCACAAGATGAAATGTCACGGCAGGCGGCCGAAAACCCCACCTCTTTGCATTGTGTGTTAGAAGTAGTACTTTCTCTGCATTTTCCTGCCTCTAGAGTCACATTGGACATACCTTTTGATTTCTGTATTTTAACTAATTGCACCACTTTCACAAGAGCTTTAAAGTATCCACCTTTCAGGGCTGTTTTGAGGATTGAGTTGCTAAGTACATGGCATATAGTAAGAGTTCTATAAATGGAAGCTATCATTATTATAATGCCTCTGGGAGAACTTCGTATACGTCAGGCTAAGCTCATTCAATATGTATTGATTTCCGTTTAACTCACGGGGATGGCCCCCTTTTTTGTTTTAGTCTATTCTGATGCCAATTTTATTCTTGGGTGAATAACAACCATATAGATATAAATAAATCTAGGTATTAGGTGACTAGATCCTCTCTTGGACAGCCAAGTTCAAGGCCTAGGAATAAAAATGACCACATTCACCCTATCTCAAGGGTCAGCAAGCTTCTATAAAGGGCCAGATAGAAATATTTGAGGCTTTGTGGGTCTTTGTCAAAACTACTCAACTCTGCATTGTAGTGCCAAGCAGCCATATAAATGAATGAGTGTGGCCGTGTTCCAATAAAATTTTATTATAGACACTGACATTTGAATTTCATATAACTTACATGTGTCTGATATGGTTTGGATGTCTGTCCCTTCCAAATCTCATGCTGACATGTGATCCTCAGTGTTGAAGGTGGGGCCCAATAGGAGGTGTTTGGGTCATGGGGGTGGATCCCTCTTGAATGGCTTGCTGCTGTCCTTGTGATAGTGAGTTCTTGTGAGATCTGATTGTTTAAAAATGTGTGGCACCTCCCTCTTTGCTCTCTTGCTCCCATCATCGCCATGTGATATGCTGGCTCTCCTTCACTTGCTGCACTGATTGGAAGCTTCCTGAGGCCTTGCCAGAAGCAGATGCCAGCACTATGCTTCAGGTACATACAGCCTGTAGAACTGTGAGCCAATGAAACCTCTTTTCTTTATAAATTACTCAGTCTCAGGTATTATTTTATAGCAAATACAAAATGGACTAATACAGTGCCACAAAATGTTATTATTCTTTTGATTTTTTCCCCAATCATATAGAAATACAAAAATCATTCTTAGCTCATGGGCCATGCAAAAGAAGGTGGTGGGCTAGATTTGGCCTCTGGGGCATAGTTTGCCAATTCCTACTCTAAATGATAATTTGATAATCTGGTCAATCAACTCACTCCCTCCCCCCACACTCCAACCCCCCAACTATCATGAGCAAGCAGAGAGGGAAAACTAAAGGTCCACTTGGAAGGAATATTCCTACTTACCCAGGGAGCTACAATTTTCTTTCTCTTAAATGCAGCTTAGAGTTTGGTAAATATGAGTTAACAATTCATATACAAATTTGAGTTGCACTGATATCAACTAAATGACCTTAGTGCTGAAAAAAATAGTGGAAAATATTTCTAGCTGCTAAGAAATCAAGCAACATTGGAATCTGAAAGCATGTAATAATTTCATTTGAAAACCAAACTTCAGAATAAGTTAAAGTATTCTTGCTACTGGTGTCCCTTACAGGCAGGGGGTTTCATGCCATTGAACACACAGGGGAATCCTTGATGCTGCAGGGATCTCAGGAACACCTGGGATTGGCCTCCTTGGGGGATCTGCATTGGCTGAGAGCCTAGAGGTCAGACTTCTTGGGGACACAGACAGCCACTGCCTCTTCGATGGAATGCTGGGCCACATGCAGCCTCTGTCCTCTCCTAAATCTTCAGCAGTGGCATTTTCATGGCCTGCCTCCAAACCTCATCTCTCCCTTCCCCACTACCATGATTTCCTTAAAAGCACAGGCCTCAAGAAACAAAGGTCAGGAAGGTAAGTTGCCTGTAGAAAACATTTGCTTTCTTCAAACATCCATCTCCTGAGACAAAGGAGCCCCCAAATCTTGCTAATTGCTTGGAAATGGTTAGGGAAAAATACCTTAATAATTCCATAAATTATCCTACAACACAAGCATCTCTTAATCATCTGGGAAGCTGGCCATACTAAAGGGGCAAATAGTCAGCTCCAGTTCACTCAGGAAAATTCCATCTGCTTCTGTGGGTTTTTGACAGTTACGGAGTCTTTGAAACAAGACCTGGAATGCTGGATTGATAAGGGAATACTTTTAGAATTTATTTTAGAATCTTTATTGTTAGCACAGAAACTAGCCTTTTACAGTGCTCAAAAAAACGTCTTAATGCTGGAATTTTGCTGAAGAAGTATTTGGGGTTAAAGCATTACAATTGGCAAGCGATGAGTGGGAAGTAGGGAATGAACAAAAGCATAAAGAAGTGAAGGCATCAGATATTTTAAGCCCTAGAAAAGGAAGAACCTGTCTATCTTATTCTCCATGAAGTTCTTCACCACCAGCCCTTGGAAGAGTACCTGGCTCAGAGAATGTTTGTTTAGTGAATGCATGTAGAGAGGAATAAGAATAGAAGACAAGGCCTCTCAGTCAGGACTCAGCAGAAAACAATTTCCACCCAGATAATTCAAGAGAAGGGACTTTAATGAAAGGATGACTTAAAGAGGTAAGACAGGGTTAAGGGAAGAAATAAGACATGCTGAAGCACCCAGACGCCAGCGACAGGAAGCTAATACCACTGCTAAGGCTGAAAGGGCAGGAGCAGCTCCTTGGCAAAAAAAAAAAAAAAAAAAAAAAATTGCAGCCAGCGCCAGAGAAGTGCATTGAAATAGAGCATGAGGAAGAGAGCCCCTGGCCTCTCTCCTCTTGCCCTTCATTCTCCTGCCAGTGCCTCCCAATGACCAACTCTACCTAGAATCCGGAGAGCCTGGAAGCAGGGCAGAGAAGACTGGAGGATGCATCTGAGAATGCGAGCAAAGAAAATCACTAGCCTATGGGGTGAACTGGAATGGAAAGCTGGTTTTAAAAAAACCCTATGCCTTCATTCATTCCCTGCTCCCCAAAGATATGCGCTGGCCCACTCATCTCTTGTCAATTGCATTGATAAGCTATTAGCTGAAGGTAGCTACTAGCTATTGGAGGTTTTAGATGAGGAAGTGGCAAAATATAAAGCTTTGGAAAGCTTTGCCTATGTTTACATTCCAGCTCTGCCACTCCTTAACTGCAAATATAGGCTAGTTACTTAATTTCTGTGCCTCAATTTTCTTTTCTATAAAATGAGGGAAGTTATGGTAGCTACCGCATAGCATTCTTATACGAATCAAATAAGATAATCTAAGTAAAGTGCTTAGGTCTGATAGTGTTTCTTTTTTTAAAGCTTATCTTAAATAAAGATTTCAGTAAATTTGTCTTATATTATATAATTTACTATCAAGTCAATGTTACAGCAAGGTTTTAGTGAATCTGGCAATCATGAAGACGAGAGTCTTCTCATGAGTACATGGCCATGCAATTTCACTCTGCTTTGGTCTACCCAGGCTAAGTAGTTCCCTTTCTTAGGCATCGATTTCTTTCTCCTTTAAGTCATACTAGAATATCATAGAGGCTTTAGGTAACGCTGGTGAATTCCACCTACATGCGGTCTCAACATACAGCTGTGATTTAGCTACCAGTGCATTTCTGAAAATTGCTTCCTTAGCATTTCAGCGTGTTATTTGAAAGAGCAACTGAAGTAGAAAGAAAATCAAGCAACAACAGGAGGGACTCGTTTTTAAACTCATTACTTTGCAAGCTGAAAAATTTGCTTAGATCAGTTGGGGTTTCAAATGTAAAAATTGACTTCTGATACAAAAGCCAGTAGCTACAGTTTGAAAGTCTGAAGCACATTTTCCCCACTCACTTCCTTATTTTTCCAACAAGAGTTTCATATGCCTTTTTAATAGGTGAGATGTGCAACCCATGGAATGCAGAGTATTCCTGTTTATATCATTATTAAAATGTAAACAGAAATACACTTTATGGAAAAACTGGGGCTAATCATGATTTTTATGCCCCTCCCCCATTTCTAATTTTTAAATAAAATTGGTATATGGGAAACATTATTCTGACTGAGTTCTTGTTGAATATTTGTTGAAAATTTCTACAATTTTAAATGCATTTACAATTCTGAAACACCAATTTAACTTGAGAGGCTAAGTAACAAGAAGATATCAAGTTAAAATATCATTTTGATACCCGAGCTTTGTGGCTATTTCAATATGTAAGTGAGCCTTCATGATGGTTCTTAAAAGTAAGTTATTATCATAATATATGCTTTATCTAGTAAATTCTTCTCTCCGGACTTAGTTTTTTTTAATGTACTTAAAAAATAGCATCTTTTGGGTTATGAAAGCCCTTAAACAATGATTTTCAAGGACTTCTGTCATTGCTTAATAATATTCAAAACCTATAGACAAACTTCGGAATTACATGTTAAAAATTGTACAGGTTGAGTATCGCTTATCTGAAATGTTTCAGAAAAGAAACATTTCAGATTTTTGAATTTTTTCAGGTTTTGGAATATTTGCATATACATAATGAGATATCTCAAGGATGGGACCCAATTCTATGATAAACACAAAATTTATTGATGTCTTATATACGCCACATACACGTAGTCTGAAGGTAATTTTACACAACATTTTAAAACAATTTTGTGTATGAAACAGTTTTGACGTAGTTTGCACTGGGACTCATCATATGAGATCAGGCATAGAATTTTCCACTTGTAGCATTATGTTGGCACTCAAAAAGTTCTGGATTTTGGAGCATTTTGGATTTGAATTTTCAGATTAGGATGTTCAACCTGTATATGCAACCTGTATTTAATCACAACTATGCTTTTTTAAAAAAGCAGCAAACCCATTGCAAAGAAAGATGAAAGGAAATTCACCAAACTCTTAATAATAGTTATATATGATAGACAGGAATAAAACAAAGGTTTTAAAGCAATGCAAATCTCTATTAAGAAATTCCTGATCCATTTTTTATACCTCTTTCAGAATATGGTGTCAGAGGTTGTAAGGAAGAGCAGGTTGTAAGGAAGGGCAGGTTGTAATCCTGGCTCCATCACTTACTGTGTGACCTGAACAAGTACAAAAGTCTCCTTGTGCCCTGGTTCAATTATCTGTAGAAATGAGATAATAATAATACTTACTTTGCAGAGTTGTTGTGAGATTAAATGAGCTAATGCACGCAAATTACTTAGAACAGTGGCAGGAACTCACTTGAAATAAGTGAGAGCTATTATTTTGTTATTTGTAATGAATCTGCTTACAATTCCAACTCTACCAGTGGAATGTGACCTCTTGAGGGTAGTGATCACCTGTTTATTTATCTTCTGTAGCCCTGGACCCTAAGACCATGTCTAGCAAATAAGAAATGCTCAGTAAAGAGTTGTGACTACATTAATGAATGAATTCCCCATGGCAAAGTGATAGAGAGTTTCACTGACTATTTCATCAGTAATGATCTAATGGTGGCTGCCTGCCACTAGTCTCTGACCCTTCTTTCTCTTAGCATTCACGATACTTAGCTTCTGCTCTGAAAGTGTTCCAAGCCTATCTGCACTGATCCAGGCCACTAGCAAATGGTTCAACTGATGAGAACACATCTATAGACCAACAAAGAGCACTTAAGAGGAAGAGTGTTACTCTAAAATATATCAATCTATAGTGTTAGAAACTTTAATCACCTTCCAGATTCTCGTATGGATCATAAACACTAAATCACATCAGTTCAATAGAGTCAAAAGGCACTTCATCCATGTGTAAAAATCAAGGTTTATAAGGCAGTCAGTATTTTTCTTTGGTACCACTCTCACCTTCAGCAGCTGCAGCCCAAAGCTATTGGGCAAAACTGAACTCGCCTCAAAAAATCTTCTGGGAAGACTAGGAGTCTACACAAATGACTGGACTACACCTTCGTAGAGAACAAGTTTGCTCTTCTGAATTTTCTTCAAACTTCATTTTTCCTTGATTTTTAAAACAGATAGCATTTTGTAAAACTGTAATATGCTGAAGACCTATTCAGAATTTCTTGTGATGAAACAAAAATTGTCATATTAAGTTAATGTTCAATTAATATAGGGTAATAGCTAATATTTGTCTCCCCTTACAAGGTTAGTCAATAATAGAAAACAATCTCCTCAGTTTCCTCTGTGCATGTTTCCACTCCAGTTCTTCCTCTCCTGCTTATGCAGAGGCTGTTCTTAAAAAATACTAAACACACACACACACACACACACACACACACACACACATGCCACACCTATATCTTTAGTAGTTTGAGTAAAGAAGATGTGTATTATCATATCCCTTTTCTAAGATCAGGCACCCAAAAGGAGTTAATAAATCACCTTGGAAAAGTACCTTAAAAATCTTCAAAGGGCTGTACCCTAGCATCCCTAACTGCCCTTTATTAACCCACTATGGGTTATTACTTCATTAAATGAAACTACTAAAATACCCAGGGGATGAGGTGGAAGAAACGGGTAGGATGGAATTAGTAAGTACTGAGTAAATGTGGTGTAATGGAGGGAGTTCAGTACAGGAGAAAAGGGTGAGTGACTAGCTCACACTGACTAGTATTTATATAATGTCCAATAATTTACAAGGTGCTCTTACATAAGGGAGGAGAACCAAAAGACACAGTGGAGGAGATGGTAGTCAGTCAATTAGACTAGGTACGGAGGCTTCACTAACACATATTTTCTTTAGACCTTAAAATTACCTTACTTTAAGTTCCATGGAGATAATGGAATCCATGATGACTACAGGGATACGTACATATGCTTTTAATTATTTTGAAATGTTAAATAGGTGGGTCAAAATCTGGCCTAAAGTTTTGCAAGCTTTGACACTGTAACTCCTGTTACTCGAATGGACAAAAAAGTTCATTCTGATAATTTTACCTTTTTTTTTTTTTTTTTTTTTTTTTTAACAGATGGAGATAGGGTCTCACTCTGTCATCCAGGCTGGAGTACTGTGAAATAACCACAGCTCATTACAGCCTCAAACTCCTGGACTCAAGTGATCATCCCACCTCAGCCTCCCAAGGAGCTGGGACCACAGGGGCAAACACCAGGTTCTGCTCTGATAATTCTAAACCTTGATACATAAAGTAGAGTCAGGAGATGGGTTTCTAAGAGCTTTCATTCATCTGATTTCCCAGCACCACGAACATGGCAAATTCAGATTATCGCAGCAGAACTGTAGCACAAGGGCAAGAATGACCAAAGGCCCTTCAAAGCCTGGGGTTGACCAAGAAGAAATTCCTATTTCTGAGCAGTTATTCTGAGGCAGGCTCTGATTCAGTCAACTGGATGAAGAAGTGAGCAGTATTTCCACCCAGAAGACCCAGGCAGCCTTTAACTTCATGACAGCTTGTCTTTCAAACCGCAAACCAGAACATGGCCAAAATCCCATAAGGTGCAGTCCCCCTGCTCTGAGGTATAGCATTATTCTCTACGAAACTTTAGAAGAAGGAAAGTGTGAAAGTCTGAGAGTCTAGCCTACCCCCATCCCAGGAGGCCATTATGGGCCATTTTACTGCAGTTTCTCTTTGTTTTGTTTTTTCCATTTAGCTACAGCATGTAGAGAGAAACCCTATTCAAGAGAGTGGGGTCATTATCCACACACAAAAGGCCATTTAGAGAAAGAACAGTGCAGTCAGTTCAAGCTATGGTTGCCAGAGTCCAGACCTATTGGACAAAAAGGTTAGCTGTTTAAGTGGGAATGTGAAACAAAATGTAGTAATTAGGTCTAACTAGGCACCCTCCCCTCTGCTGAGAAAGCTGCCTGGGATCATAAACTCATTCCCTGAAAGTTCTAAGCTTAGGAGAAAGCAAGTCATCAACACTAAGTGACAGTTCAGTTGTTAACCTTTACCCTAGAGGCTAGGTTTTTTTTCTTTCTTTTTTTTTCTTTTTGGTATGTTTTTTATAGATGTCACTTTTATAAGCTTGAGCTGTTCTTTTTCTAGTTACCACTATTGACAGTTTCAGATCACTGTTGTGTGTGATTGTGTGTTAAAAAAAAAAACACATGAAAAAATATAAATGCTACAATTAACAGTGGTTACCTTTAGTGATGAAATATACGAAATAATTGGGAATTAATTTTTCTCCCTTCAACCTTGTACTTCCTAATTGCTCTTTTATTAACACATAATGTAAATGAGAGGAAAAAAGACACATATATCTCAGGCAAAATTTTCTACCATGTTTCACTTAAATGAGGAAAAAACAATTAGAGTTTTGACAAGAATAATCATGCACAGAAAGGAGGTATAAGCCTCTGAGAAGAGGCAGTGTCATGAAGGTATGAGAACTGATATGAATGTTAACCAGCCTTCACCCTCTTTTCTTCAGCCATTTAGTGGCATCTGCATAAAAGTAATTTCAGACTAACAGATATTTCATAGTTGTCACTAAGACAGCAAGTTCTCAGCATTTAGTATGCTCAGAGGTGTGGTGTTCTGGTTAATAAAGCAATGCTAGGATGAGCACATGCTAGTTATTTAATAGACATTTCCTGTTGGATTGATTGGTTGGAATATTATGGTTGCAAGAGAGTAACCATGTATACAGGGCATGGATAACCAATATTCAATAAATAAAATGTGACCTAAAATGCTTTTGAAAATTTCATGTGTAATAATTCAGAAGGTTCTTTCAGTTTTGCAGAGCCTTGACTAATCATGTTGCATATCAATGATAAAAATAACAGAGAATGGCCAAAGTACAAATTCATAAGGAGTTCCCTTTGCTAGATTACATGACAAATCTGCTTTTTATATGATATTTCTAAAGTGACTTGCAGATAAGATGGAGATAGAAATTAATTGCTTGGGAAATAGAGATTAAGCATTTCACTTACACCTTTATGGACTTTCATTACAATTTGCCTTCAATTTATTGCTTTCATAACAAAGTATTTACTGAGTGCAGGACATTTAATCCAAAAAGCATGTTTACTGTGTTCACATTGCTTCATTACAAATTTAAGAATTATGTGTGGTAAGCGTAGTTCCTTTAAATCTCATGAGACTTCTTTTAAAATTTTTGTGTCGTAAAGTTTTGCCTAGGTGGGAGAAGGAACAAGGGAGACTCTTTACATATATAATTGCCTTTTGCCTTGTGGGAGAAGAGTACATGTAAATGAACAGGCATGGGCAGATCAAGAGTTGAGAAAAGGATACCAATATAATTCATTCAACAAATATGTCTGAATGCCCACTATGTGCCAGGCGCTGCTGTAGGTGTTTGCAATACACAGATTTTACTAGGGGAGAAAGAAAATAAACAATAAGCATTGTCAATATACAAATAATGTTAGAGGATGGTAACAGTTAACGAAAGACACAGCAAGGTCCAGGGGATTAGGAGAGAGGGTTGCTTCTAAGATTTTAAGTAGTATGATTAGTAGACTTCATTGAGGAAACTATTGAGCAAAACCTCGAAGGAGATGAAAGGTTCAGCCCAATGGATAGGGGAAGGAAGGGAGTCATTCCAGGCTACAAAAAAGAGATAACGGAAAGGGGAAAACTATTGGCTGAGGTACATAAAAACAGCTGAGTATGGGAAGAAGACAGGGAGAGTCATTTACAGCAAGGAGGTAGCCAGGAAATTCTTAATATAATGGAACTTTAAAATGCTTAGCTTTAGAAATTGTGATTTGCTAAAATAGTAAAAATAATCTCTTTGCCCCAAATGTGATTAGCATATGGGACATGGCCGCACAAAATAAAGAGATAAATGTGGTCAACTGGAATACACCTGTACCTCTAGTTAGGGACTAACAAATTGAATGTATTCATTCTTTTATCATGTATGTTCTGAGCACCACATATACCAGACACTGTGTTAAGGACTGTGGTGTGGTGCTGAGCAAAACAGACATGATTCCCCTATTCATAGCAGAGACCTACTTCAATTAAGTGATGTATTTATCTTATTACAAGGGCTGTGGAAAATTACACAGAAGTAGGAAAGCATATTACTAAGTTACCTGACCTACTTTGGGAGTCAGGAAAAGTTTCCATCAGAAAGTGATATTTGAGCTGAGATTTGTGGGATGAGTTAACATTAACTAGGAAAAGAGAAAGATTCATCTAGGTCGAGATGGAAGGAAGCATGGAATATTTGAAGAATTGAAAGGTCAGTGGCTCCAGGAGAGAAGAATGGCTCGATCCATCAGGAGCTAGCAGAAAACAGAGGGCACACTCAAATAGGGCAACTGAGGACAGTTTAATAAAGGGGCTCTTTGCAATGATGTCTGAATAGTTAAGGGAAAGGAACAAGGAATGAACAGTACTCCAGGATGAGCAAGAATGGAAAGCTTCTATGCCTAGACATCAAAATGGAAAGCGGGAGCATTTATCAGAGAAAATGGTAATAGGAAAGAGACATCACATGGTAGCTGTGACCTTCTATAAAGAGGTGCAGCCAAAATGTAAGGAGGCTTTTTCCAAAATGTAAATTGTCTCTTACATAAACATTGTTTCTTAAGTAAATATTGTCAAGCTGCCAACCATTTACAAACAAAAATAAAGGGAAATGCGAATACTGATCAAAAATACTTAATGAAATTATATACAAAGAAAGAAAGATAATGAAAAATTAAAAATCTATTTAAAGAATTAGAAATTTGAATATTTCCAGCTTTGTGACTAGAAATGAACTTGGTTTTGGGGATAGTGAGTATTGAAGAAAACCAGCTATAACACTGTCACAGGATCTTTGGGGTGTCACTTTTCTGGCTGGAAACCTCTGTGGCCCATGGCACCTTTGCCCAAGTTTTGCTTGGGCCTGCGGAGCTCATTCTGCCCACTCAGCCTAGCAGAAGTGGTGCTTGGCTAGCACTACTGGCCCGGATCCCATGCCTGTCAAGGGCAAGCCAAGCACAGAGCAGCAAGGGGTGTGTGAGTGAGTGAGCGTGGGATCCAGCTACTGTGCACATTCAGGGATGCTGACTGTGGTGAGGTGGGCACCTCCAGATGCCGGCAGGGGTGTTGGCTCCCTGTGAGGCTGTGGCTGGACCAGTCATATGGCAAGCATCTTCCATGGCTGGCACTGGGGAATGCAGTGTCCTCCAGAAGCTTGGAGGTGCCAGGAAACACAGAGCCTCAAAGAAGGTGCCACAGCTCTGGCTCAGGGAGCTTTTAGATCTGGGCTCTCTGAAGGGCCACAGCAATTCTCTCCTTCTCTCTTCTCTCCTCTCATCACCTGCAACATGGTGAGCAAGGGGACTGTTTCAGCCTTGTTTGTGTTACAGCTCTTTCAGCCCCACCATTCTGCAGTTCCTGAGTTCTTGTTCTGTGTCCAGGAAGAATGAGGAACACAGACAACTGGAGTGTGGGCAAGGTGAAGAGGTGTTTTATTGAGAGATGGAACAGCTCAGAGGAGACCTGCAGTGGGCAGCTCCTCTCTGCAGGCAGGGGCCTCCTGACCAGTGTTCAGCTCTCAGCAGAGAGGAGATCACCAGTGGGTAGCTCCTCTCTGCAGGCAGGTTGTCCCATCATCTGCCCAAGTCTGGCTGAGTCTGGGGTTTTTATGGGCTTCAGAAGGGAAGAAGTATGTGCTGATTGGGTAGCCATGAGAGAGCCAGGGAAAAAGCACCATAATTTCTCACTCTGGTCTGTGGAACTGGCAGCCTGGCCCCCAGGCCTCAAGCCATCCCTGGCCCGAAGGTGGGGTTTCACCAGGGATCTGCCCCTTGCCACCCAGGAGCCTGTCTGCCTCCTGCTGCCATTAACCTGCCATCCACAGTGCCCATAGCATCCAGGCTGTTTGTGTGCAGAGGTGCCTGCAGTTCCGTTCAAAACCATCCCCTCAGCTTTCCTCCTGTACTCATCAGCACCCAATGTCCGGAGGGGACCAAGGCAGCAGGGTGCTGGCATGTCAGTGCTGCCCCAAGTGTGTATGCACCCAACCAGATTGTGACAACACCTAGGCTTGGCCACAACTTTGCTCTGAAATCAGAGCTGGTGCCAGGAGCAGGGAGAGGCCAGACAGCAGGAGCAGGCACTTCTGAGCCTACAGTGGAAGGGGGGCCTGGCCCTTGAGAGTGCAGAGATGCCTGAGACTGAAGCCTGGCTGGGTGGCTGCAGCTGTACCCAGGAGGGCAGGGTTCCCACCCCCTCCAACCTGGAAGGGGTTAGGGCTTCTGCCTATTCAGTCTCCTGCTAGCTCTATGGAGCCTGCAGCCCCAGCCATGCCTCTCTTACTGCAGCTGGCATGATGGCAGTGGCTGCTCCAGACAGGCCACCACTGCCATCAACACCAAACAGTAGCTGTGACCTTCTGTAAAGAGATGCAGTCAAGCTGAGGCTAGACAGCAGGAGGAGATGCAGGGGAATAAACACCATACTATAATCTTCCACCACCTTCCCATCTCCCACTGTTCTTTAATCAAACTAATTGGAAGTCAGAGAGTGAGGAAGCTCTTTGATGCCGCCTAGAAGGATCAGCTCCCATGGCACAGAGCAAGGTGAAGAAGGATAAAGTGGACCTAGAGGGGTAAATGGAAAATATCCTGCAGAGTATGAAGCAGATCATACCATCTTATTCACCAATTGAAGGATTCAGGTATTGGTTTTTCTGAAAGTGATAGGCAGCGAGGGAATAATGTGATCAGATTTGCCATTCATAAAGGAAGGCCATCCTTGCATATGAGCAGACTGGAGCCACTCATGAGGGATACAGGAAGCTTAGATAGAGGTATAGTGATTGGACCCAGTGAGAGAAGGTGATAGAATCAACTAATCTGGTGGTTGCGGAAGGCGAGGAGATAAAGAGTTTGCACTGGTTTGCAAACTGGAAGTGTGAAAGAGGGTATGAGAAGTGTCAGAGAATTCTAGATTTGGGTTTGTGTAAGTGGATGGATGATGGTGCCATTCCCTGAAGAAAGACCAGGTTTGGGATCTGGAAGAGGTCATCAACTTGGTTTTGGGCATAGTGAGTCCTTAAGAAAACCAGCTATAAATCAAATTGGCACCTACACTTAAGTAGGTATTTAGCAGCCTACCTTTTATTGCACCCCAACAAGGCTCTGTGTTAGGCATCTTACATATTTCCTCCAATCTTCAAAATACAGAGGCAGACATTATTTTTCCCATTTTATGGATGAGAAAACTGAAGCTCAGGGATATTAAATTCCTTGCTTAAGTTAATTACTGAAACCCAGACATTTTAACTCCTGCTGGAGTTCTTTCTCCTTCATACTGCTATATCTGCAAGTAATGGATGTATTCGAGAATCCTGTAGAAGGGGTTGAGAAAAAGTAAAAAGATTTCTGTCATGAGGTCTTGTTTCATATTGGGGAAAATACAGGCTTTATCTCATTGAATTCTAAAGTAGGCTCATGAGAATTTCAATTAATCAATCAATCAAATCAGTACTCACTGAGCATTTATTATATGCTTATCACTTTGTTGACTGTTATAAAGAGATTATGAATAAGATAAGATGATTCTTGATTCAGTGGCTTAAAATTTAGTTGGGGAAGCAAACATACACAAAGGAAATACTCTTAGATGTGATAACATTATGCTTTGATATAACAAAAAGACAGACAGTAGGACTGACAGCTTGAAAAGGATAGTATATATTATGATCAATTCTTATTTAAGGGAGACTTCCATTGTGTATACAAGAGGAAATTGATGAAGGAGAGAATACTACGTGTTGATGGTCTAAGAAACAACATCCAGCAATTGAATGTTGGTCTGCATATTGAATGTCTCTTTCCCAGGAAATTCCTTAAAATAGGCAATTAGTTACAGTTAGCTAAATGAAGTATGCATCAAATGGTCTGAGAGTTGAAGTTTCTGGGAACCTATTTAATTTAACATTCGTTTTGAAATTCCTGCAACCAAGAATGCTTTGCTTTTTTGATAAACAAAGGACAACAACCTGTTCATATCTTTGTTGAAGGAAAAGCTGAAACTCCAAATGTGTTTAAATCTCATACAATCTAAATCTTTATCCCAATAACGAAAACTGTCATCAACAAATCTTGGTCTAAGATCTTTGAGGCTCCATAAAGATTATTCTTTATCGGAAAAACACCTCAAATTTATTTCCAAAAGGAAAGATAAGATGTCTCTTGAATAATAGCATCCACAAAATAAGAAATTTTCCTAGTAGTACGTATTATAATATGTGACATTTGTATAGTACCTTATGGTTTGCAAAGTATTTAATATGCTTCATCTTATTTGACAACTAAGCAAAGCTGAATTTTCACCAGAATGTTATACTAGATAATATACTTCCCCAGAGAGGAAAAATAACGTGTCGGTTTTAAACATATTTATAAACAAATAATCAATCTTAGGTACTTAGGCAGTAAGAGGGAGGCCATGGTTGTCATATTGAATAACTGTGTAGTTATGTAGAAATGATGACAGTTATAAGAATAATTAACACGGATTGAGCCTTTCCTATTCATGTGGTACTGGTTTGTGTACTTACATGTGTCAACCTGCTTAATGCTACGAAAAACCCATGAAGAAGATAAAATTATTTCCATATTATAGATAAGGAAACTTAGGCACAAATGTCTAAATTGCCTGAGGTCACACAACTAGTAAATGACAGACCTGGGCTTTGAACCCAAGAAGTTTGGCTTCAGAGCTCTCACAGTTAATTGCTACTCTTTCCAAAATGTAAACTGTTTCTTACATAAACATTGTTTCTTAAGTAAAAATTGTAAGGGTGCTAATAATTCACAAACAAAAATAAAGAGAAATGTAAACACTGATCAAAACTACTTAATAAAATCATATAAAAAGAAGAAAGATAATAAAAAATTAAAAATCTGTTTAAAGACTCAGCAATTGAAAAATTTCTAGCTTTTTGACTAGTCTCCAAAGAAAGAAAGGAAGGCTAAAAAGGTAGACACTAATTTATTATGTAAGCCTAACTCAATGTTATCATAATTATAAAAATTTTTAAATAAATCCTAAAAATATTTCCTGCTTTACTTAGGGATGAAACTAGAAGTTCTTCTAATATAGAATAATTCCATTTCATAAGCAAGAAAGAGCGGGTCTAGAGACAAACAGAATATTCTAAATTCTCAGGCACTTCATTGAGAATCCTAAATTTATCTACCCATTCCTCACACTAGGTGTGAGAGGAGCAAGGGGAAAGCAGCAGCAGAATAGGTTCTTTGAACTCTGCTCTCTTTGAAGGAGGATTCCTCGTACCCAGATGCCCCCAGCTTTGGAGAATTCTTTCATAACAGGAAGGAATGTTGTCCCTTGGGGCTTGAAGTTACCAGTATTTTGGAGTGGAAAATGGTCAATCTCCATCAGCTCTGATAAAGTCTAAAAAGGAGCTCTTAGGACTTCTTTGCTTTTGAGGTTATATGGAAGAGACTTTTCTCCAATGTTCCCCTCAAGAAGTTAGAATATGGAATTTTTTCCTAAAGCGTCTTTATGCAGTCAAAGAGAGGTGGGTGTAGATCTGTTATCAGTACCTCTTGTCTGCTGCTTAGAGTTAGAAAGTCACAGGGGAGGTGATGCTCAGGTGTAAGGACTGTGGGTGTTTAGCTTTCTTATTCCTAACCTAGAAAGTCACCAACTATTTCCTATCACAAAGAAAACAAAAATGTATTTTTCTCCTTATGATGACAAAATTTAACTTTCCAAAGTAATTTGAAGAATTATGTTATCTTGTGCTGGACTTATTCAAAATTCAGTTTAGATAAAAAGACTCCTAAATATGCAGGACTTTTTTTTTTCTCATTGAGGAGCTTCACTAATATGGGGGACAAGATCTTATAATCATAGTGATCATAATAAATAAAAACCACTGTGCATAAATATTTTATGGATTTTACTACACAGTTTTTTCCTAGTCCCAATAAAATTAAGAATATTAAAAATAAGCATGCTATACTTTTTTTTTTGTCACCTGCCTGGAGTGCAGAGGTGCAATATCAGCTCACTGCCTCCCACCTCTGCCTCCTCCATAGCTGGGACTACAGGCATGCGCCACCATGCCTAGCTAATTTTTTTTTTTCTTTTTTGTAGAGATGGGGTTTTGCCATGTTGCCCAGACTGGTGGCCTGTCAAGTGTTCTGCCCACTTTGGCCTCCTAAAGTGCTGAGGTTACAGGCATAAGCCTGGCCAGCATGCTATATTTTCTGACCTTGTAATTCATTCCTGACTGTAAGACTTAAAGTAGTGTTTTTCAAATTGTGGTTTGCAATACATAGGGTAAAGAAATCAATATGGTGGGCCTCACCAAATGCCAGTTAAACACTACAAAGTAAAAATGGACAAGAATAGAAATATTAGAGTATTTCATACACAGTAAAAATATTATGATTTTATTAAACTTTGTTAAAATTATTTATGTATGTATGTGTACTGGGATAAAACATATATTTTTTTTTTGAAATGGAGTTTCACTCTTGTCACCCAGGCTGGTGTGCAAAGGTGCAATCTCAGCTCACTGCAACCTCTGCCTCCTCAGTTCAAGCGATTCTCCTGCCTCAGCCTCCTGAGAAGCTGGGATTACAGGTGCCCGCCACCATGCCCAGGTAATTTTTGTATTTTTAACAGAGACGGGGTTTCAGCATGTTGGCCAGGCTAGTCTCGAACTCCTAACTTCAGGTGATTTGCCGGCCTCGGCCTCCCAAAGTGCTGGAATTATAGGCATGAGCCACCACGCTCAGCCAAAATGTATTCATTTTTTATAACAGTAAAAACAAATTGAAATCCACTGACCTAGAAAAATTCCTGGACAAGTGCATCAGCCTATTATTGATTATTTTTCCTTCGCATACCCAAAATGTTACTGTCAAGAGTCACTAATAAATTTTGATCTAGTCACATAATGGAATATTATATAGCAGTGAATATGAATAAATTACAGCTTACACAACAATATAGATGAATCTTAGAAACATAATATTGGAATGAAAAACCAAAATACAGAAAAATGCATACAACAAGATACCATTTCTATGCCACTCAAAAAACAAGCAAAACCTATTTTTCTTTCATTGTTTCAGAGATAGGGTCTCATTCTGTTGCCCAGGCTGAAGGGCATTTGTATGATCATAGCTCACTATAACTTCAAACTCCTGGGCTCAAGGGATCTTCCCACCTCAACTTCCCAAGTAGCTAGAACTACACATGTGTGCCACTAGGCCCAGCTAATTTTCAATTTTTTTTTTTTTTTTTTTTTTTTTTTTTTTGTAGAGACTGGGTCTAGCTGGTCTCAAATTCCTTGCCTCAAGTGATTCTACTGCCTCAGTCTCATAAAGTGTTAAGATTACAAGTATGAGCCACTGCCCTAGCCAAAATTTAATATTACGTTGACTAGTAATACATGCTTATATGATAAAACTATTAAAATTAGGCCATAGAGAAGACAAACACAAAATCCAGGAGTGTAGTTACCTCTGTGTGGAGATTGGGGAGAAAGTGGAGGAGATTAGGGAAGAACACACAAGAAGTTTCCATAGTGTTGTTAATATTCTAGTTCTTAAGCCAGGGGATGGGTTTTATTATGTTTCAAAGCTTAAATATATTCTTAATTTTGTGTTATATTGTTTTGCTTGTGTCCAACAATAAGAACTGAACTTGTTGATCTTTGTTGGTTTAAAGTCTGTTTTATCAGAGACTAGGATTGCAACCCCTGCCTTTTTTTGTGTTCCATTTGCTTGGTAGATCTTCCTCCATCCTTTTATTTTGAGCCTATGTGTGTCTCTGCACATGAGATGGGTTTCCTGAATCCAGCACACTGATGGGTCTTGACTCTTTATCCAATTTGCCAGTCTGTGTCTTTTAATTGGAGGATTTAGTACACTTACATTTAAAGTTAATATTGTTATGTGTGAATTTGATCCTGTCATTATGATGTTAGCGGTTATTTTGCTCGTTAGTTGATGCAGTTTCTTCCTAGTCTTGATGGTCTTTACAATTTGGCATGATTTTGCAGTGGCTGGTACCGGTTCTTCCTTTCCATGTTTAGTGCTTCCTTCAGGAGCTCTTTTAGGGCAGGCCTGGTGGTGACAAAATCTCTCAGCATTTGCTTGTCTGTAAAGTATTTTATTTCTCCTTCACCTGTGAAGCTTAGTTTGGCTGGATATGATATTGTGGGACAAAGAAGGCCATTACATAATGGTAAAGGGATCAATTCAACAAGAAGAGCTAACTATCCTAAATATATATGCACCCAATACAGGAGCACCCAGATTCATAAAGCAAGTCCTGAGTGACCTACAAAGAGACTTAGACTCCCACACACTAATAATGGGAGACTTGAACACCCCACTGTCAACATTACACAGATCAACGAGACAGAAAGTTAACAAGGATACCCAGGAATTGAACTCAGCTCTGCACCAAGCGGACCTAACAGACATCTACAGAACTCTCCACCCCAAATCAACAGAATATACATTTTTTTCAGCACCACACCACACCTATTCCAAAATTGACCACATAGTTGGAAGTAAAGCTCTCCTCAGCAAATATCAAAGAACAGAAATTATAACAAACTGTCTCTCAGACCACAGTGCAATCAAACTAGAACTCAGGATTAAGAAACTCACTCAAAACCGCTCAACTACATGGAAACTGAACAACCTGCTCCTGAATGACTACTGGGTACATAACGAAATGAAGGCAGAAATAAAGATGTTCTTTGAAACCAGCAAGAACAAAGACACAACATACCAGAATCTCTGGGACACATTCAAAGCAGTGTGTAGAGGGAAATTTATAGCACTAAACACCCACAAGAGAAAGCAGGAAAGATCCAAAGTTGACACCCTAACATCACAATTAAAAGAACTAGAAAAGCAAGAGCAAACACACTCAAAAGCTAGCAGAAGGCAAGAAATAACTAAAATCAGAGAAGAACTGAAGGAAATAGAGACACAAAAAACCCTTCAAAAAATTAATAAATCCAGGAGCTGGTTTTTTGAAAGGATCAACAAAATTGATAGACCGCTAGCAAGACTAATAAAGAAAAAAAGACAGAAGAATCAGATAGACACAATAAAAAATGATAAAGGGAATATCACCACCAATCCCACAGAAATACAAACTACCATCAGAGAATACTACAAACACCTCTACGCAAATAAACTAGAAAATCTAGAAGAAATGGATAAATTCCTCGACACATACACCCTCCCAAGACTAAACCAGGAAGAAGTTGACTTTCTGAATAGACCAATAACAGGCTCTGAAATTGTGGCAATAATCAATAGCTTACCAACCAAAAAGAGTCCAGGACCAGAAGGATTCACAGCCGAATTCTACCAGAGGTACAAGGAGGAACTGGTACCATTCCTTCTGAAACTACTCCAATCAATAGAAAAAGAGGGAATCCTCCCTAACTCATTTTATGAGGCCAGCATCACCTTGATACCAAAGCTGGGCAGAGACACAACCAAAAAAGAGAATTTTAGACCAATATCCTTGATGAACATTGATGCAAAAATCCTCAATGAAATACTAGCAAACCAAATCCAGCAGCACATCAAAAAGCTTATCCACCATGATCAAGTGGGCTTCATCCCTGGGATGCAAGGCTGGTTCAATATACGCAAATCAATAAATGTAATCCAGCATGTAAACAGAACCAAAAACAAAAACCACATGATTATCTCAATAGATGCAGAAAAGGCCTTTGACAAAATTCAACAAGCCTTCATGCTAAAAACTCTCAATACATTAGGTATTGATGGGACATATCTCAAAATAATAAGAGCTATCTATGACAAACCCACAGCCAATATCATACTGAATGGGCAAAAACTGGAAGCATTCCCTTTGAAAACTGGCACAAGACAGGGATGCCCTCTCTCACCACTCCTATTCAACATCGTGTGGGAAGTTCTGGCCAGGGCAATCAGGCAGGAGAAGGAAATAAAGGGTATTCAGTTAGGAAAAGAGGAAGTCAAATTGTCCCTGTTTGCAGATGACATGATTGTATATCTAGAAAACCCCACTGTCTCAGCCCAAAATCTCCTTAAGCTGATAAGCAATTTCAACAAAGTCTCAGGATACAAAATCAATGTACAAAAATCACAAGCATTCTTATACACCAATAACAGACAAACAGAGAGCCAAATCATGAGTGAACTCCCATTCACAATTGCTTCAAAGAGAATAAAATACCTAGGAATCCACCTTACAAGGGACGAGAAGGACCTCTTCAAGGAGAACTACAAACCACTGCTCAAGGAAATAAAAGAGGATACAAACAAATGGAAGAACATTCCATGCTCATGGGTAGGAAGAATCAATGTCATGAAAATGGCCATACTGCCCAAGGTAATTTATAGATTCAATGCCATCCCCATCAAGCTACCAATGCCTTTCTTCACAGATTGGAAAAAACTACTTTAAAGTTCATATGGAACCAAAAAAGAGCCCACATCGCCAAGTCAATCCTAAACCAAAAGAACAAAGCTGGAGGCATCACGCTACCTGACTTCAAACTATACTACAAGGCTACAGTAACCAAAACAGCATGGTACTGGTACCAAAACAGAGATATAGATCAATGGAACAGAACAGAGCCCTCAGAAATAACGCCGCATATCTACAACTATCTGATCTTTGACAAACCTGAGAAAAACAAGCAATGGGGAAAGGATTCCCTATTTAATAAATGGTGCTGGGAAAACTGGCTAGCCATATGTAGAAAGCTGAAACTGGATCCCTTCCTTACACCTTATACAAAAATCAATTCAAGATGGATTAAAGACTTAAACGTTAGACCTAAAACCATAAAAACCCTAGAAGAAAACCTAGGCATTACCATTCAGGACATAGGCATGGGCAAGGACTTCATGTCTAAAACACCAAAAGCAATGGCAACAGAAGCCAAAATTGACAAATGGGATCTAATTAAACTCAAGAGCTTCTGCACAGCAAAAGAAACCACCATCAGAGTGAACAGGCAACCTACAAAATGAGAGAAAATTTTCACAACCTACTCATCTGACAAAGGGCTAATATCCAGAATCTACAATGAACTCAAACAAATTTACGAGAAAAAAACAAACAACCCCATCAGAAAGTGGGCAAAGGACATGAACAGACACTTCTCAAAAGAAGACACTTATGCAGCCAAAAAACACACGAAAAAATGCTCACCATCACTGGCCATCAGAGAAATGCAAATCAAAACCACAATGAGATACCATCTCACACCAGTTAGAATGGCGATCATTAAAAAGTCAGGAAACAACAGGTGCTGGAGAGGATGTGGAGAAACAGGAACACTTTCACACTGTTGGTGGGACTGTGAACTAGTTCAACCATTGTGGAAGTCAGTGTGGCGATTCCTCAGGGATCTAGAACTAGAAATACCATTCGACCCAGCCATCCCATTACTGGGTATATACCCAAAGGAATATAAATCATGCTGCTATAAAGACACATGCACACGTATGTTTATTGCAGCACTATTCACAATAGCAAAGACTTGGAACCAACCCAAATGTCCAACAATGATAGACTGGATTAAGAAAATGTGGCATATATACACCATGGAATACTATGCAGCCATAAAAAATGATGAGTTCATGTCCTTTGTAGGGACGTGGATGAAATTGGAAATCATCATTCTCAGTAAACTATCGCAAGGACAAAAAACCAAACACCGCATGTTCTCACTCATAGGTGGGAATTGAACAATGAGAACACATGGACACAGGAAAGGGAACATCACACTGTGGAGACTGTTGTGGGGTGGGGGGAGGGGGGAGGGATAGCATTAGGAGATATATCTAATGCTAAATGACGAGTTAATGGGTGCAGCACACCAGCATGGCACATGTATACATATGTAACTAACCTGCACATTGTGCACATGTACCCTAAAACTTAAAGTATAATAATAATAAAATAAAAAAATAAAAAAAAGAACTGAACTTGTTGAAATTTATAAGGAAATAAATCTAATTTTTTTCTTAAAATCTTGTCTTTGATAGAAGTCTGGTAATTAACCTTACCCCTAAAACACACCACCTTTCCCTATAATGGAGTGGTAATAATAATAAATATCCCAGACAACTAAACTCATCTAAAAATAGGATTGGCTTTCAACTACCTTCCTGGAAATGACAGAATAAATAAAGAGCATGTTCTCAAAATTGCAGACCCCCCTCTTTATCTTTGCATAATGTTCTTCTTTTCATTGCCTCAGTTTCTCTAGCTGCAAGGAAAAATTATATGTAACTCTGGATTCTTGCTCTCTCTCTATCCTGCTCTAATCTTCAAAAAACAAGACTAAGCACTTCTATAGCAGTGCTTCACAAACTTGCTATTTGATGGACATACCACCAAAAAGACTCTTGAATGGCTGCTAAAATACCTAGCTCCAATCCAAACCCCAAGTTCATTTCATAGTTCAGCTCTTTTGCTATAAAGGAGCAAAGTGATTCTTGAATGGATAGGAAAGCAGCTGCCTGCAGTTTCCTGTCCTCAGAGAATTAATTTTTTTTTTAATGTTAAGTGCTCACTCAGCAATCAGAGAGTCGTATGTACATGAAACTGCACTTCCTCAATGTAAGGACACACAACCCTCAAATCAAACAGTCTGTGTTCCAAATTTATTGGAGAGTTATTTGTTTGGGATGCAAATTATCTTTTCCAAAGAAAATGACGTTAGAAATGATGGAACAGGTCCCTAAAGGAGAAAGCACTGATAGTTGCCCTGGTCCTTCTTGCCTCCAAGGCCTCAGCAGGGTGAAAGGATTTGGTAGGGGAAGACCAAGGGGCAGATATCTACAGTCAGCAGAAATGTCCCACAAAGGGAAGCGATTAAATGCAAGGTTGGGGAGTGTCCCTCCGGGGATACTGCTCAGTGGCACTCAGTCCTGGGCATCCAACGGTGAGAGTGGGGAGGATATGAAAAGGAGGGCCTTCCACTGCAGGATGCCAGTGTCAAGGGAGGCTTTTGAAAGCAGCCAGACCAGATAGGACTTCAGTAGGTATCTGCAGGACCCGTTTGTAAGTACTGAAGGAAAAGTAACCTCCAGAGGTGTTGGAAATTAAAAAGTATATTCAAAGCTTTGTCTACTAAACTGCTCAAGGCTCCCAGAGAGGGAAAACTACTATGTTTGGCTGACACGAGCTTATTATTATTATTATTATTATTATTATTATTGCTCCTCTTTAATAAGGGGGTAAAAATCTCTGGTGCCTATAGCTACAACAACTCCAATCCTGGTGGTCAGACAGTCCAAGGCCACAGCCCTAACCTAAAGGCAATGCAAGCATGGCCATAATAGAGAAACAAGAGTGATCCCAACATGAGGAGTACCATGGAGAGGACCTGTGGGTCATGGGAAGATTCCATATAAATGTTAAATACTATTATTCATTGTCATCAACATGAAATTCTCTCTAGCATAAAAAGGGTCCATTCAGTTGACAGGGCTGATTAAGCATATTTAAGATGCTGAGCACCAGTCTTGTAACTGAGTAAGGATGCTAGGAGATCCTAGGCATTTGTGTAAGCGGCTCTATCCCTAAGAGCTTGCCAATTCCACTTTCGGTGAAAAGGTCCAGGTAAATTTACATGGACAACTGAATAAATGTTAACATGCTTTTTATATTTTCTTGTAACAATTCAGAGTAAAAATGTGGATACTCTATAATTTTCAAAGTTGTCATTTTAAAATTTTAAGATTTTGATGATAAAGGAAGAATGGGAAGAACTAAGATAAAATTTAGGTCTACCTCAACACAATCATGCAAATTAGCAAAGGCACTAAGATGAGGGCCTGAAAAGTATTAGACTACATTTTTAAAAAATATGTTATTGTAAAAATATGTGTTTACAAATTCATTCTTGTCTTCAGGCTTGAGAAAATTCTCTAGGCTCTTATTTTGAGCTACCAGCCAATTCATTCTCTTCTCTCTTCTCCTCGCCTCGCCTCACTTCACCTCTTTTCTCTTCTACTTCATATAATAATTATTGAGAATTCAGGTAGTGTTTGGGATGATGTAAAGTAATGAACGCAACAGCAAGAGCTATAATCATTTTCTTAAATAAAAAAAAAAAGGTAGGCCAGAATTTTGCTGATGCATCCTCAACATGATCTGAAAGCCAAAGATAAGAGTGAAAATTGGCCAGGCGCAGTGGCTCACGCCTGTAATCCCAGCACTTTGGGAGGCCAAGGCGGGTGGATCATCTGACATCAGGAGTTCAAGACCAGCCTGGGCAACATGGCAAAACTCTTGTCTCTACTAAAAATACAAAAATTAGCCTGGCATGGTGGTATGCACCTGTAATCCCAGCTACTCAGGGGGCTGAGGCAGGAGAATTGCTTGAACCTGGGAGGTGGACATTGCAGGGAGCTGAGATTGTGCCACTGCACTCCAACCTGGGAGACAAAGTGAGACTCTGTCTCAAAAAAAAAAAAAAAAAAAAAGAGTGAAAATTGTCACTGGATCGTAAGTTCCAAACAACAAATCTAGGTGATTCTTTACAAGTTTGACATTGAGTTGGTGAATAATAGAAGGAAAGTTTTAGAGAGAAAAACAAATAGTGTAAGAATTAGTATGTCTAAGAGTAAAGACATTTTATTAGCTTACACTCCAGAAAGTCAATTCTTTAATTAAATCAAGACTATAACGTCACGTTGAAACATACTAACATCCTCAGGTGAAGGTATTGCAAAATACTTTACAAAAGATTCACCAACTATAATCCACTCATACAGTTAGATAAGAATTTTATAGGCACTGGATATTTTTTAGCCTCAAACTCCTCAGTTACTCATGAAATCAGCACATTGAAAGTCTTCATTCAATCAGAAGTATAGATGATTGATTCATTCCAGAAATATTTACTGAATGCCCTGCATGAGGTTCTGTGAAGGAGGCAATGATAAATCAAGTGCAGGCCTCATTTTTCCAGGGGGATTTGTGTCTAATAGGAGAAACTGGACATCCCCATAAATAACTAGACCACAGGTCAAAAGTGCGGAGCATCACAAGAGAAGTGTGGGTGACAAATCAGGGGCAAGCAGACGTGGTAAACTTTAGAGAGGAAAGAAATGGACTGGCTATGAACTAGACATACAGGATGGACAGGAAATGCAAACCAGACAGAGGAAACAGTATAATCAAAGGCATAGTTTAGGCAATTTCAAGCAGCTCAGATTCGTTGGCACAAAAGGGAATGCCAGGATATATGATAGGAAAGGACTGAATGAATCCTTCATGGAAAGAAGGATTAAGAACATCAGGTTGAGGAGATACGTTGAACAGCTTAGATCTCAGCTGACAGGTGGCACACTTCTCTCCCTACACTTGCATCATCCTGGCCATTGTTTAACATCCACCCTTGAAATAACTATTCTTTACACATTGAGACTGTAGTGCATAAGGAAGTGTATTAGGACACTAACCTGTGAGTTTAAGGTAGGTTGTAGAGTAAAACACATAATGTGGTAATTTTTCTTTTGCTGTTTGTTTACAAAGAAACAACATCATGTAAATATTGTTGAACAAAATAATATATAAAGGAATAACCATGTGGATGGATGGGTAGGTGGATATGTGATGGACATGTGACTGAATGGGTGGGTGGAAAGTTGGACATGTGAGGGTCTGAGCGTATAGGTGGACAGGTGAATGGACAGGTGAATGGGTAGTAAGCGGATGAGTAGGTGAATGAGTGGAGTTGCTGGATATCTGAAGCAGCTGGGTGATTTCTCTATGATCCCATAATTAGGTATTCAACAACAGACCAAAAAATGTCAATAATATATAATTATTTGCTAGTAAAATTTTAGTCAGGCTATAGAATCCCAGGACATTATAAAGTATGCTTATGAAGTGAGTACATGCTTCATTGCACATTATAACAGAACTTAAAAGACACATGTTCCTTCAATTCCCAAGCCATTCATCCCTTCCTGAAATAGTATAGGAATTAAAGTTTTCCCAAAAACAACCTAAGTGGAAGAAGGCCAAACCACTATAAAGGTAAAAGTAAATTTTACCTTTTAGATTTAGTGATTTTTAAAATTGATATTCACCATCCTATAGAATGAGGAGATTCAGCTATATTAAGTTTCAAAAATTGTAGAACAATGAAGTTTCTTTTATTTTCTTTTTTTATTATACTTTAAGTTCTGGGATACATATACAGAATGTGCTGGTTTGTTACATAGGTATACATGTGCCACGGTGGTTTGCTGCACCCATCAACCCGTTACCTACATTAGGTATTTCTCCTAATGCTATCCCTCCCCTTATCTCCCACCCCCCGACAGGCCCTGGTGTGTGATATTCCCCTCCCTATGACCATGTGTTCTCATTGTTCAACTCCCACTTATGAGTGAGAATATGTGGTGTTTGGTTTTCTGTTCCTGTATTAGTTTGCTGAAAATGATGGTTTCCAACTTCATCCATGTCCCCCCAAAGGACATGAATTCATTCTTTTTTATGGCTGCATGGTATTCCATGGTGTATATGTGCCACATTTTCTTTATCCAGTCTAACATTGATGGGCATTTGGGTTGATTCCAAGTCTTTGCTATTGTGAATTGTGCTGCAATAAACATATTAGCCTTTTGTCAGATGGATGGATTGCAAAAATTTTCTCCCATTCTGTAGGTTGCCTGTTCCCTCCCCACCCCAAATCAACAGAATATACATTCTTCTCAGCACCACATAGCACTTATTCTAAAATCAACCACATAATTAGAAGTAAAACACTCTTCAGCAAATGCAAAAGAACGGAAATCATAACAAATAGTCTCCCAGACCACCATGAAATCAAATTAGAACTCAGGATTACGAAACTCACTCAAAATCACACAACTACATGAAAACTGAATAACCTGCTCCTGAGTGACTACTGGGTAAATAATGAAATGAAGGCAGAAATAAATAAGTTCTTTGAAACCAATGAGAACAAAGACACAATGTACCAGAATCTCTGGGACACAGCTAAAGCAGTGTTTAGAGGGAAATTTATAGCACTAAATGCCCACAGGAGAAAGTGGGAAAGATGCAAAATCGACACCCTAATATCACAATTTAAAAAACTAGAGAAGCAAGAGCAAACAAATTCAAAAGCTAGCAGGAGACAAGAAATAACTAAGACCAAAACTGAAGGAGATAGAGGCATGAAAAACTCTTCAAAAAAAATCAGTGAATCCAGGAGCTGGTTTTTGAAAAAGATTAACAAAATAGATAGGCGCCACTAGCCAGACTAATAAAGAAGAAAAGAGAGAAGAATTGAATAGATGCAATAAAAAATGATATAGGGGATATCACCACTGTTCCCACAGAAACAAAAACTACCATCAGAGAATACTATAAAAATCTCTATGCAAACAAACTAGAAAATCTAGAAGAAATGGATAAATTCCTGGACACATACACACTCCCAAGACTAAACCAGAAAGAAGTTAAATCCCTGAATAGACCAATAACAAGTTCTGCAATTGAGGCAGTAATTAATAGCCTACCAATTAAAAAAAAGTCCAGAACCACATAGATTCACAACGGAATTCTACCAGAGGTACAAAGAAGAGCTGGCTACCACTCCTTCTGAAACTATTCCAAACAACAGAAAAAGAGGGAATCCTCCCTAATTCATTTTATGAGGCCAGCATCATCCTGATACAAAAACCTGGCAGAGACACAACAAAAAAAGAAAAATTCAGGTCAATATCCCTGATGAACATCGATGCGAAAATCCTCAGTAAAATACTGGCAAACCAAATCCAGTAGCATATCAAAAAGCTTATCCACCACGATCAAGTCGGCATCATCCCTGTGATGCAACGCTGGTTCAACATAGGCAAATCAATAACCATAATCCATCACATAAACAGAACTAAAGACAAAAACCACATGATTATCTCAATAGATGCAGAAAAAGCTTCAATAAAATTCAATACCCCTTCATGCTAATAATACTCAATAAACTAGGTATTGATGGAACATATCTCAAAATAATAAGAGCTATGTGCCACAAACCCACAGCCAGTATCATAATGAATGGGCAAAAGCTGGAAGCATTCCCTCGGAAAACCAGCACAAGACAAGGATGCCCTCTCTCACTACTCCTGTTCAACGTAGTATTGGAAGTTCGGGCCAGGGAAATCAGGTAAGAGAAAGAAATAAAGGGTATTCAAATGGGAAGAGAGGAAGTCAAATTATCTCTGTTTGCAGATGACATGATTGTATATTTAGAAAACCCCATCGTCTCAGCCCAAAAACTCCTTAAGCTAATAAGCAACTTCAGCAGTCTCAGGATACAAAATCAATGTGCAAAAATCACAAACATTCCTATACACCAATAATAGACAAACAGAGAGCCAAATCATGAGCAAACATCCATTCACAACTGCTACAAAGAGAATAAAATACCTAGGAATACAAGTTACAAGGGATGTGAAGGACCTCTTCAAGGAGAACTACAAACCACTGTTCAAGGAAATCAGAGAGAACACAAACAAATGGAAAAACATTCCATGCTCATGGATAGGAAGAATCAATTCATGAAAATGGCCATACTGCCCAAAGTAATTTATAGATTCAATGCTATTCCCATCAAGTTACCATTGACTTTCTTCACAGAATTAAAAAAAAAACTACTTTAAATTTCATATGGAACCAAAAAAGAGCCCATATATCCAAGACAATCCTAAGCAAAAAGAACAAAGCTGGAGGCATCATGCTACCCAACTTGAAACTATACCATAAGGCTACAGTAACCAAAACAGCCTGGTACTGGTACTGAAACAGATATTTAGACCCATGAAACAGAACAGAGGCCTCAGAAATAACACCACACATCTACAACAATCTGATCTTTGACAAACATGACAAAAACAAGCAATGGGGAAAGGATTCCCTATTTAATAAATGGTGTTGGGAAAACTGGCTAGCCATATGCAGAAAACTGAAACTGGACCCCTTCCTTATACCTTCTACAAAAATTAACTCAAGATGGATTAAAGATTTAAATGTAAGACCTAAAACCATAAAAACCCTAGAAGAAAACCTGGGCAATACCATTCAGGACATAGGCATGGGCAAAGACTTCATGACTAAAACAACAAAAGCAATTGCAACAAAAGCCAAAATTGACAAATGAGATCTCATTAAACTAAAGAGCTTCTGCTCAGCAAAGGAAGTTTATTTTCAAAACCAACAAATATCAACCAATTCACTGCTCACCCAAACAGTCAACCAAAAACCTTAAAAAACAACTGTATGTAAGGTGGCACAGTTCACTGCTGAAATAAAGTTTTAAGAAAGACGCCCCTAGTATTCAAAATGTGGGCTTTGGACCAACTGGATCAGCATCACTTGGGAGCTTGTTGGAAATGCAGAACCTCAGGTCCCATCTCAGACCCATCAAAATGCATTTTTATATGCACATTTTAGTTTGAGAGTACTACTAGTTGCTCTTCTTGAAAATTCAAAATGTATGTAGTGTTATATATTGTTTAATTTTGTTTAATCCAATGTTAACCAATGTTATTTAATCATGTATCTTTTTTTAATAGAATACTCATTTAACATTGCATGGAAATTGTGGACAGTTTGAGTGATGTTGAGATAATAACTAAAGTCCTTCCAAACAAAGCATGTTATGTCTATGTTAACTATATAGACATAGATACATACACACACACACGTATATATCTATCAATTAAACTATTATCTATCTATCTATCTATCTAGTAAAAGTAGCCATAATTCTGTGTATACGTTTAATAAAAACAAAAAAGGAAAATGGATTTGTTAGATTTGAGAAAAATGGTGGAATGTAATGTTAAGTTCCTGGTTAAGAGAAGAAATTTTGCAAAAAGTCCATCAAGACATCAGTGTCTATGTCTACTGGAAAACATTGCTGTGGGACTGGGATTTCCTTTTGCTTTCCAAGATCTTTTCCAAAATATTCATTCTTCATTAATAAGGGCTAATTTTTACGTACTTTCTTCCACACGTTCCTATTCAAATACTTTATTCTTAGAAGGAATGTTTTTTGGGGGGCCGTTAACATTTCCAAAGGCTTTTAAGAATGTTAGTTTTTTGGCCGGGTGTGGTGGCTCACGCCTGTAATCCCAGCATTTTGGGAGGCCAAGGCAGGTGGATCACAAGGTCAGGAGTTCAAGACCGGTCTAGCCAAGATGGTGAAACCCCGTCTCTACTAAAAATACAAAAAAATTAGCCAGGAGTGGTGGCAGGTGCCTGTAGTCCCAGCTACTTGGGAGGCTGAGGCAGAGAACTGCTTGAACCCAGGAGGTGGAGGTTGCAGTCAGCTGAGGTCGCACCACTACACTTCAGCCTGGGTGACAGAGTAAGACTCTGTCTCAAAAAAAAGAATGATAGTTTTTATGTGACGCTTCCTTGGGTAAGTTCAACTTGATAATAAAGATTTGGACTTAATTTGATGTTATTGGAAGTAATCTGAAAATAACAATACTTCCTAGTGTTGGTGTTTCAATCATTTAAACCAATATTTCAAAGAGGAAATTATACTTTGCCTTTATATTCTCTTAGTGTCTATCAAAAAGCACATGGATTCCACCCTTTCACCCAAAAAAGCACATGGATCTAGGGTGGTGGCTCTTTTTTATCCCAGAGACTAAAAGCTTGAGAATAGAAAGGGCTTTGTTATTGCAGATCTCACTTTATTTTGCCCAAAATTAGGAACGAGCAGGAATAAGAGTGAAACTATGCTAAGGCTGTCAGAAAGTCAGAGTGGTACATGAGATACTTTCAGGTGGTATAGGCAGATATTTTATTTTAATAGTCATGAATTTATCTTTATATGAGAAAAGATGTAATCAGTATAGCAAATGTGCCACTTCCTAGATATTATCATTTAGGATGAGGTTAAGTTTAAAAAGTGAGGCTATTTTAAAAAGCAAATAACATTACATGTATGTATACAATAAAAATTGGGACCGTGGTAATGTAAAGATTGCAATGTGGGAAATACTCCTCTAAGCCAATCCTTTTGTTCTGCAGATAAAAATGAAGCCCTCTATATATGGAAGTTAATGGGATTAGGGCCCAGGAATTTTTACTTCTCAAAATCAAATTTAAAACCCTGTAATAGTCTCAGATAAAAATACCTTAAGTGTATCTAAAATATCTTTAAGATATAAAGTCATCAATCACAATGAATGACTGCTTCCCCAGATACTGGACAACTGATGATATGCATGCAGCTCAGAATTTTCAAGATTCTCTAAAGCATTCAGATGCATTCTAATAGTAAAGTAAAAGAACTTCTCCCTCCTTTTGAATAGTTGGATTTACCTTACTTTAGGTATGAACCATACACTGTCATTGGAATTTGCCTTATAACTGCTACCACTTCCCTGAAGTTTCGTTTTTCCTACCATTTTAAGATGGAAAAGAACAAGTAAGATTCTGCCTCTCATTTATTATACAAAACGTATAGGCAAAGACTCTACACCATTTAACTTTCCAGTGCCTTGGTTTCCTCATCTGTGAAATACCACTTAATTGACCTCTAAAGTAACTTCCAGCTTCAAAGTTCTATAACTTTACAACTATTAAAAAATGAATTAAACCCATAAATAGCTGAACTTCTAGAGAAATGTATTATTAGATATTAAATATGTCATTTTTTATGTTACAGGTACTCAACAAATCTTGTTTCATTTAACCTGCCCAGCACGCATAAACAATTCCTATTTCACATATGCAGAAACTGGGGTTCAGAAGGTTGCAGTAACTTAGTCAAAATGACACAGCCAGTAAGCAGTGGAGCTAAGATTTGAGGCCACATCTCCTTTTCTTAAAAGTCTACTCCTTAACCTCATCATGCCAGACTACCTTGCTATGGTCAAAACATTATCATTACCTTTTGGAAAAGCTACTGGGGCAAAATTACAGAAAAAAAAATCTTTCTATTTGTCAATTTGTCAATACAGCTAGAAAAACACCCTAAGGACTGCCTAACTGATAAAAATATTGAGAACATATGGTTCATTTAGAAATGACTTTCTTAAATATATGGAATAAATTAATGATGTGAAAGCTGATCAAACTCAATTTAGATGTGAATTTTCCATTTGAAAAACCCCAAGCTCTAATACTGATCCAGGCTACAGACAGTAAGAGATTAAATCTTATTTTTTGAGAAAGGGTCTCACTCCATCACCCAGGCTGGAGTGCAGTAGCACGATCAAGGCTCACTGCAGCCTCGACCTCCTAGGCTAAAGTGATCCTCCCACCTCAGCCTCTCAAGTAGCTAGGACTATAGGTATGCACCAGCACACCTGACTAATTAAAAAAAATTTTTTTAGAGGTAGGATCTCACTATGCTTCCCAGGCAGCTGGTCTTGACCTTCTGGGATCAAGCAATTCTCCCAAAGTGCCGAGATTACGGGGCATAAACCATTGTGTCCAGTCCTAAATTTCTGATTCTTGAAAGGTAAAAGAATAGAAACCATATAAATATTCTAATGCATAGAAGAGTATTTCCATAGTTTCAGGATTATATTACATTTTATTTCATTGAAAATAGGAAACATCAAGCCTATAATCTCAGCACTTAGGGAGGCTGAGGCGGGTGGATCACGAGGTGTGGAGATAGAGACCATCCTTGCTAACACGGTGAAACCCCGTCTCTATTAAAAATACAAAAAAATTAGCCGGGAATGGTGGCACACGCCTGTAATACCAGCTACTCGGGAGGCTGAGGCTGGAGAATCGCTTGAACCTGGGAGGCGGAGGTTGCAGTGAGCCGAGATCATGCCACTGTACTGCAGCCTGGGTGACAGAGTGAGACACTGTCTCAAAAAAGAAAAAAAAAAAGAAAGGAAAATAGGAAACAAATATTACTACCACATGTAAGAGAATAACTGTTTATGATAGAAAAATTGAAATGAATCATAAAATTTGGGAAATGTCTAAAATTATAACCATAATATTTGTAAGTGAAAAGCTATATTTTATAGCAAAATAAGAATATGTGTGTGTATGTTTATAAAAGCATATATTATGTTTAGGTGCTGAGTCAAAAGTCAAATATATTAAAAAAGTATTAAGTAGCATCTATTTGTTGGAACAGCCTTCAAATATAAACTGTATATAGATTTTGCATTATCTTTTGAAATAACAACTTAGCTGAAAAAATTATCTTTGAGACCAAACAGTTTTGATCTTCAAGGTGGTTTTGAGGTAGCAAGAAAGAGAATTTCTTTGGGACATAGAGAATCAGCTTGACATAATGACACTGGCTTTGAAAAATAATTTCAGGAGTATGTCTTCATTTCTAGCTTGCAGGCTTACTCTTCACCATATTCCAAACTCAGGGCTCACAGACATGATCAAAAAATAATTTTAAATGCTTGAACTAGCACATTAATACCTCATGACAACGGTGGCTTGCTTATTTTAACTGATATTCATTTAAACAGCAACATGCAAAATGTCAGCATTTGAAGTGAATTAATCAGTTGATATCCCTGATATAATCACCCAATTTGGGCGAGGTGCAGATGAACACAACACATGCTTAGATTGAAAGTAAAATGAGGGTAACTATAATTTTCCCAAGGGCCATAAGCTTGAGCATATGAATGAGATCACTTAATAATCTAATTTTCACTGGCTTTGCCTACATGATGCAGTTTCTCAATAGCCATGTAAAGCTTCCCCAGGGTCAAACGTTTCTGGGAATCCCCAGCCGCTATCTCCTGTTCTCATATGTAATCACGAGTAGATGCCTGCTGGGCACTGCGGCTCCTCCAACAATGCTCAGCAAAGAGCCACAGCCTCTCCCGCTGCTCCTCGAGGCCCAGCTGTGGCTGGTGTGCTTCACCAACACTATATCAGGCCACTGTGCCAGCTTTTCCAGGGTGCACGACACTCCTCTGCCACCACCCTGTTAGGCACACTCTACTGATTCCCTGGGCCTCAACAGTGTCTGAGCAGTATCTGGGTTGTATGGGAAATGAGATTATGATCCACCCTGACTCCCCACCTGGTTCCAATGGGTAAGGTACAGACTCTAGGAACTGAAAGCTAGTTGATGATCACTTGTGAGTTTATTAGTAAACCAGATTTATTAGCAATCTGGGCAAGTGCCCAAGAGGCTCTGAGAACCACAGTAAATTTGGATTGGAAAATGCAATTTGGATCCAGAGCCAAAGCATGTCATTGCATCCCCACCCACATTCAGACCTTGGGGTCATCTGGAGCCTGAGGTGGACTGGGAGGGTAAGGGAGAAATAGATCTTCAGAGCAAACTTGCCATCGAGCCAGTTGTCTGGAAGATCACAGGCCCATCCTATCTGACCTCATTACTGGCTGACCAGAGTGTAAAGAGGAAAGAGTAAGAGGTTGACTCTCCCTCTGTGCTTTATCCCATGGAAGCAGAGGGGTGGAGAACGTGAGCGCCACTGCTCGCACACGGGCCATAAAGAGCAAGAGACTTGTGCAGGAGCAGTCACTTTTAACACAGGGAAATTCTTCCTAACAGGAGGCTGTCACCAGTGAAAGGAGCTACCCTTCTCCTTTGTAGGGAAGCAGGGATAGGGTTGGCAGAGAAGCTAGAAGCTTTTTTTCAAAGCCACAGCCCTGATGGGAAGAAGCTCCCTCCTCTGTGAAAACATGAAGATGGGAGATTACATTTCTTCCTTTGAGACTATGCAGTTGATGAAGTGCTGGTGAGGAAGGAGCAGAGGGAAAATGGCTGAGCTTACTTAGGGATCCCAAAGCACTCTAGTCTGTACCCCCCAAGTGTTAGAAAGTTTATTAAGAGAGTCCTTCCAGCTTTGGCTTATCATCTTCCTGCCTTTGCTGGGTCTAATGGGCTGGCAGAGAAGACAATCCAAGTGGCAGCTTTGCTAGTGCAGAGAGCCCCCTTTCCTTCCTTCCAAAGAAAGAATGCGCCATTGGTGCATTCACTGGCCTGTCACACTTGGCTACTTTCCCTTAGAATTAATTCTCTTCCAGAAGGTATCACAGTCCCCTTTCTCCCTGAAAATCTACAGAGCAGACTAAGAATTTACCAAACATACCCATATACGTCTATAATGTCAGCAATAGTTATCATTAGCATTTTTTCACCAGGAGTCTCTTCCTCACTCAACACAAAGACAACTGGTGGGTCTGTCCTGAGAGTTAACCAGACTTTGCCAGCCACGTCCACACTTAAGCAGTGAATCTGACCCAGGCCCAGGTTGTCATTCTCCACTCTGCATAAGTCATAATATAATTTTGTAAGCAGGCATATACATGAGGGCTGGTTAACTGAAGGAGAAGTGAGCTTTGAGACACTTAAAATGTGAAACTAACAAAGAAGATAAATAGAGGAGTTCAAGAAGTCATTTAAATGGAAGAGTCTATTAATTCATCTATTCATTTTTTATTTTAGTCAGCATTTATTTAGAACTTTTGTAGGTGCTAAATACAGTGTGTGAAGATTTTTAAAAAATCATATTTAGTTCCTGTCCTTAAGGATCTCACAGTCTAAGTATAAAGGCAGACATGTAAACAGGCAAATGATACCTGCCATAAACCCTTTTCTATGAAATGTGGACATAATGAATTTCATAAAAATGAAACATGATAAATGCTATAACAGACACATAAAGTGCTATGAAGTACAGGGAGGAACTAATTTTTACTATAATTTTTATTATTGTTACTAGAATCATTAGGTAGTCCCTAAATTGGAAAGATTTGTGAACATATAAAAAATAATAAATACTTAAGCTTACCTTTTTTCATACATGACTATTCTAGGCCTGGATTTCTATTACAGAATTTCTTGAATATACTTCTTTTTTTCAGTTTATTTATGGAATAATTATGGTAGCAATGACCGGTAATGACCTTTGAGTTATAAAAATAGATCTTTTATAAAGTAAACTCATTTACTGAGAAGTCACTGGAACATTTTGGTCTTGTGGAAAAACACAGTTATTATTTACTGATAAATTATTTCCTGTTTATGTAACTGACCTGCCATGTTAAAGCATTAAATTAACATTTTGGAAAATGAAACAAATATCTTTCTACAAATAGGAAGGATCATTTTAAGGTTTTTAATTAGTTTGTCTCTTGCTTTTATTCAGTTTTCTGAGATAAAAATTAAAGAATTAAAAATATTTCTTTTAGTTAATAATTTTTAAATTACTTGGAAGTCACCGTAGCTCATTTGATCTACACTATTTTTCTCAATTGGTAGGATAAATCTCTACAGGCATCCATAGAGACAGCTCCCAAGCATCAGCGAATTGAAGAATTTGGGAATATGCTTTACTGATTGTTCCATATTTCTTTATTTTTTACACTGCTTTTCTTTATCCAATCTTACTTTTCATTGCAGTTGCTTTTTTTTTTGGCTTTGTCTGCTCATGCCTTGGGCTCTTCAGTGGTACACTGGAATATTGCTCAACTCTGTGGTGGACATCAGTTTCAGTAGGTGATTCTGTGTGTCCCTCTTGGGAAATCTGCTATAGACCTCTCCTTACAGACAATATTCAAGTACAGAACAGACACACTTAGTATAAAGTAGAAATTGATATAAACAAAAAAGTCAGTGAATCTAGTGTTTATGAGAATTCCTGTTTCATATAATTGGTGATCATGTATGGTGAAACATCTGCTGTTTCTCCTGCTAGTAGCACTCTGATTTTTCCTTGTAGATGTATCAATCCTTAACTCAGTCCATATAACCAGACAGCCAATGACAATGGTGTATCACAGGAACCACAGTGTCTGTATCAGAAGTGGTCACATGAGTCAAGAAGGGCTAATTAGAGCCAGCCCGGAGACTTCTGCAGGAACTAATGAGTTGGGGTTTCTGTTTTGGTGAGAGTAAGCTTGGAGCTGTTGGAACCAATCTGCTGCCTAAGAATGACACCAGCACAAAGAAAGCCAAGTCAAGAGCTGGAAAGAGAGAAAGACATCCTGGTCCTGATAATATTGTTTGAGCCGCTAGATATAACTGGCCCTGAGGCTAGTGTAATCTTATACATTTCAGAAAAATGAGCCAATAAGTTGCTAAGTTTATTGTAGCATATTTTCTTTATGCTTAAAGTTCACCTTTTTCACATTGATTTTTTATTGTCTTTTATTTGTTTCCTTTACTAGATTTGAAATGCCTTGAGATCAGAATTCCCAATAGCTAGCAAATAACAGATGCTCATTAAATATTTATTTGACAAACAATTCAGAATCTATCTTTAAAACAAAAATCACACAGCTAGATATTTAGCAACATTGATAACATATATTAACATTTTTCAATAAGGGCTAGATTTTATAATTATCAAATTACCATATTTGTGGGGGAAAAATGGAATACTACTTGGCTTAAAAATATCTGGGAAAGACTGCACCAATAAATATTCTGCTCATAGAATTTCAAAAGTAAAAGATACGTGGAGAAAAATGACACCTTCCATTATAATTAAAGTTACTGGTATCATAAATACTGACAAACAGGATACCTACATGAAGTCCTACAATCTAGTTTATACTCTGCTCACTTGTATTAGTCCATTCTCACACTGCTATAAAGAACTACCTGAGACTGGGTAATTTATGAAGAAAAGAAGTATAATTGACTCACAGTGTCATAGGCTTAACAGGAAGCATGACTGGGAGGCCTCAGGAAATTTACAATCATGGTGGAAGGTGAAAGGGAAGCAAGCTCATATTAACATGGCGGAGCAGCAAAGAGGGGTGGGGAGGAAGAGAAGAAGTTGTGGGGGTGGGGAGAAGTGCCATACACTTTTAAACCTGAAGATCTTGTGAGAATTGACTCACTAGCATGAGAAAAGCATGGGGGAAATCTGCCCCAATGATCTAATCACCTCTTACCAGGTCCCTTCCCCAACATTGGGAATTGCAATTCAACATGAGATTTGGGTGGGGACACAGAGCCAAACCATATTACTACTCTAACAAATGAATTGCAAAGTTATATAATGTGTAAAAATTCCAATATACAACTTCACTTTACTCTATCTCTGTTGGGATGATGTTGCTATAATTGTAGAAATCAATCTTTGTTCAACTAAATGTTTATTTAACCATTTGGAGAGTTTCCTTTTGTGTCCCACCCTGAAAAGTCTTTAAAGAGAAGACTAGAAATATTACTACCTGTCACTGCTTGAACCACCTGCTGGTGGGGTCTATTTATCCATGGATTTCTGGGTAAATAATGATTAATAACTAAGACAGATCAATGATTCACAAAACATAATTTGCCATGCAAGACAAGCAGTGTTTAGAGTGGCAGGTAGAGGTAGCAACTAATCATAAAACTTTATTTGAGTGAGGAGTTCTTCATTTGAATATTACAGGTTTTTCTGTTTTGTTTTGTTTTTAAATCAGTAAAAGAAACTGGGTCCTAGAAGCTGCAGTGATCTAAGTAACAGTGTTTGTGCATTCTTTTTTTTGTTTTTGTTTAAATACGTTTAAATTAGTACACTGCCGGCACACCTCATTTGCATGAAATTCTGTACCGTACTTACTCATTGTAGTAAGGTTGCCCCCTTCCCGGGGTTGGGGATGGGGGGCACGGGGGTGGGGGGAACTACTGTGGAAGATAATTTTCACTGAAATCTAACCAAACTTCATTAAGTAAATTGTGACAAGATTATAAACGATATGAAAACTAACATTCTAACATTTGGCCATCAAATTGAAGAAAATGGTTTGCCTATACAAATTTTCGTAACTTTTAAAAGATAACATATTCTACCCTCATATGGTCCTCATTAAAGCATAATGAACAGGAAAGAAAAGGAAAAGACTGCAACTGGGTGCTAAGGCAGAACATCTTGTCAGAAGCAACTAATGAACGTAGAGTATATACTAAATACCAAGTGCGGAATTTCACAGGGCCAACAAGATAACAGTCCATATTTTTCACTTACACAGGTGAGGTGGATTTTGCAATTACCAGTTGCATTAAATGCACCAAACACAATTTCAAAAATAGACCTAAAACCTATAATAAACCTACACTCTACTTCGTCTCTCATGAAGGACTCATGCCTGAAAGGAATGACCATACAAAAATGAACAAGCATACACTTCCCTGGCATACCCAGCAGATCCCCTTGCCACAATCAACACAAACTTTTACTCAACAAAGGGTGAGGCTCAGCCATCAGTAGGTGTGGAATTATTCCAGTCTCTCTCAAGGCAGTTGACTCTGGGTTTTCTTTCTTCACCTGGAGTTTTTGTTTAACTGAGGTCTAACTGAAAGTTCAATGTTGAATGGCTTCTAGCCCACAGAGTTTACCTTCAAGATCACTTGGCTTCATTTTGGGAAAGAGACTTTTTATCTTGCCGCCAGAAAGTGAAACAAAATTTAAGACACAAAGCATTCTTTGTTATATTATCTCCTTCATCTTTCCTGGTTTAGGAAGAAGTTGAGTTCTGTGTGGTTCTGCGAGCTGACGTTTGGCATGGCTTTGTTCTTTGGTGGTAAGAATTATTCAGTGAGTTTTTCTATTGTTTGTTTTCTGAATTCTAATTACTACCTTTTTAACTTTGGAAGGCAAGACAAGCTTACTCATTTTTTAAAGTTTCTGCTTCATATGGTGTATCTTAATTTTTATAAATATGTTTGTTTGCTTATATGTTTGTTTTTGTAAAATTCTTTTTGTCCAGTTCTCCTAGTCCTCTGGGATAAGTCAGTTATTTACTAAGAGGCTTCTGTGCCACTTCCTTGCAATAACAAGCAGACACTTCTTTTTTTTTAAATGATAGGATCACAGTTTTAATGAATAAACATCACAGTTTCTAACCACTATTTTAAGTGAAGTATTAAAGGACGCATGTGGGTCTCAGTGATCCAGGCAAAAGTACCTTTGAAAATATTCTGTGGGAGATGCTGTTATCCACATGAACAGGAAAAAAAATGTCGTAGACATCTATCTTGTTCTCCCAGGTATTTATGAGTATCGCTGCAAATATTGCAATTTCTAGGGGCATTTCAGCCCAGGTACTTTAAATATAATCCAATTCCCATTTCATAGTTATATCAGTAGCTAAGGTGACTTGATATCAGGTGATAGGAACTGATATAAAGGTCTGTGAACTTCATTCTGATAAATTTTGAACTGCATTCACTTTCTTTTTTATGTGACTTTTATCTTATTACTAAAGTTAGAAGAAATCATAAATTTAAAAAATCTACCTGCAATCCCACCAACCCCTCTTCACATTTTAATATTTGTATATCTAGATTTTCTCTATTTAGTAATCTATCTTTACCCTTAAATTATGAAGAGCTTTCCAAAATGCTGTGCTCTTTTAAATAGACCTGCTGCTTACAGAATCTGCCTCCAGAACCTTGAATCTATAGGCAGAATCTTGAGGTACTCTCTCATGGCCTAAGTAGGCATGGTTATATTTTCTGGAACAAATCCCTCTTGTTTCCTGTTGACTTTGTAAGAGCTCTCTTCCTACATATCATGGACAAAATAATTTGGAAGCTGCTTCTTGGATTTACGAGTCATTTAATAAAGTCATCTCCCCAGTTCAGGTTTTTCCTGGATAAATAAAGTTTTCGAAAGTAATTGATTCAGCCAAAAGAAGCCACCAGAGAGCTTTACAAAGGACTCCACACAAAAGGAACTCTGTTGAATATCAATAACAGTATTCTAGATTCATGTGCAATTCAACCTTTTAACAATACTAGTGTTTGGCACGGGGTAAGCCAGCAGTCACTCCTGAATGAAAATCAAAACAAAATGAAATAAGGAACATAAAAAAATCCTAAATCTACAATATCAATGCTGGTGTTGAAGCCCAATAGGCTATTGGCTGTTTTTTAAATTTAAGTCTTTGAATAATGTGAGATGCTACTGAAAAATTATTTAATATTGTAGCAATTTTATAAAATAGCCTAGAAATGATATTAGCAATAACCAACATTTTAAAGCACTTAATATGTACCTTACATTAAATACCTATGAGACTTTATATGTACTCTTTTGCATACATATTTCATAAGAACCCCATGAGGTATAGAGATAAACTGCCCAACACTATCCAGGTGGCAAACTGCAGAAGAAGATAAATCAAGCTTTGTGTGACTCAGATGCCCTTTGCATCATCCTCACAATGCATGTGGCATTCTGCAGATATTTATATGACTGCAGAGTCCATTTCATTTCTACTAGGTTAAACTTCCTGACCTCTAGCAAAGCAGGACAGTTAGATACTCTAATATGATTCATATTTGGGTCCCACCAAAGATCTGTCCAGAGATATGCTTCTTTTGTGGTTCAAGGCACAGGGAATCTCTAGACTATGAATCCCAGAATGCAAATTGACTGATATTCAGGTTTTTCATTGAGTACATGAAAAGAAATTTCAACTGCCTTCTCCTTCCTTAAGAAGAACCCTTCCCTGGCTCTGAAAACATTGTCAATGGAGTGTATGCAATAGTAGAGGATAAAGTCAACTGAAATGAATTAATAGAACTTTATTAAAGATAATATGCATATAACTAGTTTTAAAAGGTAAAGAAACAAGGGAAAATGAGCTCAGCAATATATCAGGAGTTACCCAACCTGGAAAATATTATGGCAGTGATAAAACTACTGCAGTATTAAAGAGAGACAGAGAGAGAGAGAGAGCATTTCTAAGGCTACCTGATGAGTCTTTGAAACAGAAATCCAGCTGGCTCTAACCTTTTAGAAGATGGTATTTTTTTTCTAAAATATGGCTAACAAGCTTATGTGACGTATTCTCCATCAAAAATGAACTCTGAAGAGCAGTCTGACTCTAAGAATAACTTCTAATATCTAGGATGAGCAACTGTGGTTCTGTTTGCTCACTAACCTCACAAAGTGTCATTCCCTTTAAGGGTAGGGATGGCATTTTGATCAAATTTATTTTCTTTTCATTTTTCTGGGATAATGGGAGTTGATCACAGATTATAGTTGCCAGTACCATTCGAGGTGCCAAAGGATCCTTGGCACCTTACCACAAGTACCTGTCAGGTTGGTTGAGAAGGGAAATGTCAGCAGACAATTAGGATACAGTGACAAGTGCTGTGATGGGCCATAGGCACTCAAACTTCATGGCCGCATGGTGAAAGGGAGCATGGGCAGAGTGGTGGTGAGAAAGAACCTTTCTTGAGAGATTTTGTAAAGGACATGTCTGGTCCAGGTGAAGAACGGGGTGAGGGGTGCTCTAGGCTAATAAGCTTATGAATGAAGGCACAGAGGTGTGACAAAGCATCCTTGAGGAACTGGAGATAGTTAAGTATGGGATGAATGTTAAGATGCAGATAGTGAGTGTTGGGAGAGGAGGTCAGAGTCTCTCGTTAGCCAAATATTCTGTGCCTTCTGCTATTCATGAGGTGATGAACCAACCATTTATGAATAAGCATGAACACAGCTTTGCTGTTTTGTGCATGTATTCCTTCCTGTAGCTCAGTGGGGAGTATGTGCTACTACTAAATTGTTAGCTCCTTGAGGACAGGGACCACATGAGTCAGGAAACGCTGTAGATTGAGCATTATCCTTGAAGTCAGGGCAGTGCAAAAGTGGTACCCTTAAGGGAACACAATACATAAAAGCCAAGATCAGTTAGCATCTTTCAAGTTAACTGTTGAGTAAAAATGAAAGGAATGTAGAATATGTTTAAACATGTATGGACCACAAAACAATGTTAATTAAAGATTGTTTTCCAAAGGAGATAGATAAATGTTGGATTTACAAGAAAACAGAAGTTAACAATGAAGAGCATTTGTAAAGTTACAGAACTGGAAAGTTTCACACCACATGTAGATGATGGCAGGGGATTTACTGAAACAGTAGATAGGATAGTGTGACTGGATTAAGATGAATAGGTGGAAAGGCTGATCCAGCTAATTCTTATAGAAAGTGTGTAGGGTATAAACCATAAATAAACAAATTAAGATGATAGTGGAAGATCCTGATCACCTGACAGAAAGTAAATAATTGGTTTGAAACCAAAGCAGTTCCTGAGTTTCTTAAGAAGGAAAAAATATTAGTGTCATCATGTAAACGATGTTTGAGAAAGAGTTTCCAGCAATAATTTATATCTCTTCACAGAATGGAAATATTAAATTAAAAGGGTGGAAGGAGCCTATGGCTATTTTTTTTAAAAAAGCTGAGGAGACATAACAAATGGAGCAGAGGCTTCGGGTTCTAGCCCCAATTTTCCCTGGGCTGCCACTTCTCCTTTCCAGTCTGACAACTAGATGTTTTTTTCTTTTCTCTTTTCTATTGTTTTTTTTTTTTTTTTTTTTTTTTTGAGACCGCATTTCGCTCTTGTTGCCCAGGCTGGAGTGCAGTGGCATCATCTCGGCTCACTGCAAACTCTGCCTCTTGGGTTCAAGCGATTCTCCTGCCTCAGCCTCCCGAGTAGCTGGGATTACAGGCATGCACCAACACGCCCGGCTAATTTTGTATTTTTAGTAGAGATGGGGTTTTTCCATGTTGGTCAGGCTAATCTCGAACTCCTGACCTCAGATGATCCGCCCGCCTTGGCCTCCCAAACTGTTGGGATTACAGGCGTGAGCCACCGCACCTCGCCTCTTTTCTCTTTTAAACTTATTTTTGTCTCTACTTTGTTGTGTTAACTGGGGCAAGTCACATCAGCTCTCTGGGTATCAGATTCTTCAACTGTAACATGAGGAGGTAGGATCCAGATTGTCATTAAGGATGGCTTTTGAATTTATAATTCTAAAAAATTCCACAAAATTAATAAAATACAATCCTAGCTAATTTTCCCCACAGATAAGCAAACTCCCATTTCTCCTATGAAGGGAAGAACATGGGACCCAGAAAGCCTGAGGAGAGCCCCCAAGTGAGTCTTAGTTCAGTGTTCATTTTAGAAGCAACGCTTTCAAAAAAAGTATGTTTTTTCATATTTTAACATGTCTATTAAATGTCATAGAATTCATGGGATTTTACAATCATAATTAGCAGCATTTTTTTCTTTCTTAGCAGCTCAAAAAATTATGATATGTTATACATTTAAATTCTCTTTTAATTCTCAAGTCCAGTTAAGATCAGAGTATATATAGTAGATCTTTCTAACATCTGAAGCAACAGTATTTAGATGAATCAGTGGAATGAGACAGAGTCTCCAAAGCAGTTGTCACAATTTTATTAATTTTCAGAAAATCCTCGTACACTATAAGATAGTCTCTCTATATCTCCTGCTCAAGGTCACTCTTAGATAACTAATTCTTCTAAAGAAGGCCCAGGGTTCTGTTGGTTGAAACTTTTTATTGTATTGTTATTCACTGTTGCTATTTTTATTATCATAATTATTATTAATTTAGATCAATGTTTTTCAAACTGTAGACTGAAACCTATTTGTTGATTGTATCGTCAGTATAGTGGGTCATCACAGCATTTTAACAAATAAAGCAACATACGCTAAAACAGGAAATCTCATCCTATCTGGTAAGAGTATCATTTCCTGACACTCTTTCTGGATGTGCTTTGTTTTTTTTTCTTTTAATTTATATTTTTAGTTCTGGAGTACATGTGCAGGATGTACAGGTTTGTTACATAGGTAAACATGTGCCATGGAAGTCTGCTGCACCTATCAACCCGTCATCTAGGTTTTAAGCCCAGCATGCATTAGCTATTTTTCCTAATGCTCTCCCTCCCCCAACCCCACCCCCAACAGGCCCCAGTGTGTGTTGTTTCCCTCCCTGTGTCCATGTGTTCTTATTGTTCAGCTCCCACTTATGAGTGAGAACATGCCATGTTTGGTTCTCTGTTGCTGTGTTAGTTTGCTGAGGATAACGGCTTCCAGCTTCATCCATGTCCCTCCCTGTAAAGGACATGATCTCATTCTATTTTACGGCTGCATAGTATTCCATGGTGTATATGTATCACATTTTCCTTATCCAGTATATTGATAGGCATTTCTATTGATTCCATGTCTTTGCTATTGTGAATAGTGCTGCAATGAACTTACACATGCATATATCTTCTTAATAGAATGATTTATATTTCTTTGGGTATATACCCAATAATGGAATTGTTGGTTCAAATGATATTTCTGGTTCCAGATCTTTGAGGAATAGCCACACCATCTTCCACAATGGTTTAACTAAGTTACATTCCCACCAACAGTGTAAAAGTGCTCATACTTCTCCACAACCTTGCCACCATCTGTCGTTTCTTGACTTTTTAAAAATCACCGTTCTGACTGGCGTAGATATACGTACAAGCATACATTCACATATGGGAGTCCTGGATCATGGTTTAGGATGCATTTCTTTTGTGGGTTATAATCAAAAAAGATTCAAAAATGCTAATCTAGGCCCAGCCTTGGAGGGCTCTGTGGCTATTAAACAGCTTGAAGCATAAGCAACCATGTAGAAAGATGCCGAATTTGGGGCAATGTCTTTGCAGGAGCACCATGTCCATAACCATACCAAAAACATGCTTGGCAAAATAGAGAGGTGCTTTGGATTGCCTTGAACTAGCTACTCATTAAGAAGTATTTGGTGACTCTGTTCTCTTTACAAGCCATCTGTATTGCCAGTCTCATTTGACAGCCTTTCTACTCAAAGGCCCCTAATTATTTAATTACTAATAGTAAGTTGATAGGAATTTATAACAAAAAATTTCAATTGACCTCTGATAGTAGGTGACAACATTTATTTCTATTATAAGAAAATTCCTTGGGAAATTCTACTTTGAAATTTGGACTCAGATGTTTAATACCTTTTAGGCAGTACATTCACCTAAGGAAGGTATTGTTTGAGGAAGCAGACATTGTTAAATACCTTTCCTTCCAAATTACTCAGAATGATAAAGAGCTAGGTCCCCTTGCAGGCATATACATTCACTTGGTGTTTCCTATATTGCCTGGAGTTTCTGCTTTCACTTCTATTTCAAGCATCCTTCCTGTACGTAAAAACAGGGGGTTCCTACAAAGGAGGAAATGAAACCAGCAGCTGTAATCATGAAAATGAGAAAGTATTTTTTCCCTCCAACCTGTATAAATGGTGGAGTCTATGTCATAACTGAAGAATATTCTTCCTATATCAGCTTTTTCAGATCAACATTCTAATGTTGACTCTCTTTGAGATTCTAACCAGGAGTAGCACCTTGTGCTTATCTACAGCCTCCTCATGGAACCAAATCATTTCATTTTACAAATGAAGAAACTGAGGCCTAGGTAAGCTTGTCACTAGCCCAAGTTCAGAAAACCTGTTACTGGGAGATCTGACATGGTGAAAGTGTTCCACAGCAGACTGGTTATATTACACTAACTTATTGCATTTAGACTCTTTTTCAAGGATGCCTTAAATCTTTGAGAGAAGTGTAATACCTGACTCAGGTATTTTAAATCTATTATTGAGTCTCCACATGGAAGTTTCTCCTCTTACTGAAAATCATGCTAGATGGGTACAACTAATAAATCCTAATACATTTAATAAGTGATATAATATGACCTTAAATTCCTTGCTATAGTTTCCATGTACTTCAGAAACAGAGGAATAAAAGCTATATTTTCTTTCTCAAGATATCTGTGAGGAAGATCAATGGTGAGTAGATTTCCCTCTAGTATGGACATTCTGTGAACAAAATTCTCTTTATCCATTTGGATGCCATGAAGTAATATATTACCAATAAATATAAAAACAATACACCTGGTTTAAGTATAAGGCTTGAATCACTGCTACTTCAAAAGGAGTCGAAGGATTTTATTTATAGGTTGGAGAATACAGGAGATTCAGAAAAGGAATAGCCTTTTAAAAATCATTATTTCGAATGAGAAAAGGAAGACAAAGTTTAAAATAAGCAAGATGAGAGAGAAAAAACTTTTTGACATCTGAGTAAACAAAACAACCTCAGATGTCTTTGATTAGTGTTTTCACACAGGGTGCTGTCAAGAAAGTTTCCATCCAAATGAATTCTATTTTTTAGTTCATATCTTTGTAAAATACATCTTGCTAGAAAAATGAATTTATCTTGTATAATTTATACAATATGGTTAAAACTGACAAAAGAAAATAAAATATTAAGGCAAAATTAAAACAATCTGGTAAAAAAAATTATGTTCAAATATCAAATACATAAATTCACAAAATAAGTGGAAAAATCTAAATACACTGATATGTACAATGACCAATAAATATACACATTGACATATACCCTTTCAATATACTAGGCAATAATTGAGCTCTTAATGGAGATTATGTTGCAAAGCAAAAATATTTATGATATGTAGAGATGTTACAAACTTGTACTATATATACAAAATGATGAGCTCTATAATTCCATCTGATTACTCCCATTTAAAAGAAAACCAGCAGTCATTTAAATGGTAGTTTCTGAAAGACCATAATATTAAGAGTGGGTATCTTTGGTAAAAGTTTTGAGATCTAAAAAGTTTTTATTTTTAAAATTTTGTAAAATAGCCACAAATTAAAGTTTTTAGGGTAATAAATATGTTTTGATTTTGGAGAAAATAATCTGCCCTTCCTTTCTGCAAATATTATTTCCACTGTCAAGTTTGTGGTCAATAAAGCTCAACAATTGGCTAGGATTTCCTCAATTTATATTAAAAAGTACTTCATTTTTCCTGAATTCACCTGGAAGTCTCTGTTAATGAGATCATAGATGAGAATATAAAACAAAACAAAAACAAAACACACTGAAACCGACAAACTGACAAATTTGACACACTAAAGTTCAGGTATTTTGCTCACGTACTGATTCAGAGCCTATTTCCTGTTACCTTATCCATAATTTTTGTACACATAGCTATTTGACTTCCAAGACTTTAGTAGATTAGAGCCAACAAGTTGAATGGGGGTTGAGAAGGGGTGGAGTAGCTACTGATAGTGTGGCAACAAGGAAAGGAACAGAAAATTATAAAAAGAAAACCTTGAAGCATCCGGTTGATATACAGATTGTGGCATAGGGGCAAACAAGTCTACAACCTTCAGTAGGTCCCAGATCATTAATATATAATTGTAGAGGAAAATAACTAAATTTTAACAATAGTTAACACTGAGTAATAAAGAAAGGCAAAAATATAACCAGAATATACTTTTTAAGAAGCTGAAAAATGAATTACATTGTTTAATATAATTCCACATAAAAAGCTTACAATAAAATTAATCTAGTGTTTCAAGGGACAAATGATCAACTATGTTGAATGATTCATCCCCAGCTGTTTTAGGATCTTTTTTTTTTTTTTTTTTTTGAGACAGAGTCTTGCACTGTCACCTGGGCTGGAGTGCAATGGCACGATCTTGGCTCACTGCAACTTCCACCTCCCGGGTTCAAGCAATTCTCCTGCCTCAGCCTCCCGAGTAGCTGGGATTGCAGGTGCCCGCCACCACGCAAGTCTAATTTTTGTATTTTTAGTAGAGACAGGGTTTCACTATGTTGGCCAGGAGGGTCTCAAACTCCTGACCTTGTGATCCGCCCACCTCGGCCTCCCAAAGTGCTGGAACTACAGGCATGAGCCACCACTCCTGGTAGGATCACTTATTTTTAGGGTAATTAAAAAAAAACTTCTGCTGACTTTTTGCATCACTTGAGAACACGTGCTTCTTTCTTAGTGTTAGCCCAATATTAGGGCTATTATGCTAATATTTCTGCCCAACTGAAACCATATAGACAGGTCATAATGGTACCAAAAGACAAGAATGTGACTAGCTTGTCCCGTCCTTGCTTTCTATGGATGTTCATCCTTGCATCCACTGTGGACTAACACATGTTTTATGCTGGCAGATCAGTACATTACTCCTGTGCAGCTAGTTCTGTTGTTGCCTGGTAGAGCTTGCTGATGTCCTTTCTATGGCACAGCCAGCTGCTTGCAAAGAGCAGATCAGGGTTAGACATAGTTCTAACCCTGGAGAACTGGGTTCCAGTTGCCAGAGCTCAGTCCTAAAATTGGGCAATCTAGCATCCGGGTGATGATAACAACACTGACAAACTGCTGACACAGAACCCCCAAATTCTTTATCATCACAGAATAAATAATACTCCTTAAAATGAATCATAGGCAAACCCTTAGGTCAAAATCCAGTTGGGTGTATTTTTGACTTGTTCCTTTGAGTGAGGGCCCCTCTTCCTATCCTTCTTCCTCCATTTAGGTACTCAAGTTTTTCTAGTGTAAAAGTGTCACTTTTGTGAATGTGAGTCCCCTCTTTGCCTTTCTCTCTCAACATTTCCATTTCCCTCATCTTCTAGTCTGGAGGTTGCTCTGCTGAGTCCCCGCCTCCCACAGCTCCTTGGCCACAGTCCGAGGCTGGTGGGTGGAACGCTGTTTGTCAGGGACTGTCTGGGTCAGAAGTGGCTGGGCTGCTGCTCAGCTGGAGGGACAGACACGGTCTCCAGCTGCACAGCCAGTGGATAAAGGACCCTTTCACTGTCCTCTCTTCTCCTCACAGGATAACGGATCACAGGAGTTTCTTTTTCCTTTCCTGCTCCTTACCCAGCTGTCACAGCATCCCCTTCCCTAGCATTCTGCCTCCCAGATGGAACATGGGGACAGAAAGCTAGAGAGATCCATCATTGGCACCTGGAAACTATCTACCCCAAATTTATATCTAAAAGGAAAGAGTCTCATCTAAATCAAAATATTTGCCCTCTTGTCAAGCGTCATGTCCCCTTCAATTCCTCAGTTTCCACTGAATTTCCGTCTGGAGATTTTTATTCCCATTTCTCTTGCAGCCAAGGTCAGCAATCCCCCAGTCACTTGTTGTGGGGGCTACTTTTCTTCAATAGACTGTTTGTTTTGTTTTCGACTCAGTTTCTTGTTTCAATTTCTGCTTTTCTTTCCCCTTTTCACTCCTCCCTAGCCAGTTGCTCTCTGACCCTTCACTAATTCCGCCTCCTCCTCTCCTGATTTCTTTCCAGATTGTTCTTCACTCTGTCCCATTTCACTCTCTGGCCTCACGCCCCTCCCAATGTCACCCATCCCTTTCTCATTCTCATTTGTTCCCCTTATTCTTTTGGTAATTTCTGCCCCCGTGATCCTTATCTTTTCTGTCCTAAATGTTCTGTTTGTCTTCCTTTCCCTCATCCGATAAACTGAATCCAGTGAGAAGGAAAGACACTTCCTGCCCTATGAAATTGTGCCATTGCATTTTAACAAAAATAAGCACTGCCAGTAAAATTGCTTAACACTAATGAAACATAAATGTTTGTAGAAAGACAGGAAGCAGGACAAAAAGTACTTATTTGCTATGATTGAAGTTAAAATTTGAAACTGTGAACTGAAAAGGAGACATTCTTTTAATAGTTAATGAGCCAAAGTTGGTAAACGCAGTGTTAATATTTCTAGGGTTTATGACCAATTCTGTCCTACTAAGCATGTTAATCAAATATTGGACAATTTATTACCTCTTTGTATAATTCTTGTTTTTTAAAATTATTAATTTTAATAGCATAAATCCATTGTAAAAAAAATTAAAAATAGAAAAGGATATACCATGAAGTTATTTTCCCCTGTACCCAAATCCTAGGCCACTTTTCCAAATGTAAACACAGTTCATTCATAATAATAATGTGTATATGTATGTTTATATAACATGCACATAAATAATATGTATATATAACTATGTTTCTCTATATGTTTATTCTCCCCTTTTTATACAAATGGAAGCATACTATACATATTATAATGCAACTTGCTTCATTCACATAACGATACAGGATGGAATAAATTTCACATAAGCACATATAAATCTACTTCACTCTTTTCCATGATTGCATAGCACCCCCACTTTTTTAGAGATTCAGGGGATTCATGTGCAGGTTTCTTACATGGATATAATGCATAATGGTTTCTTACATGGATATAATGCATAATGGTTTCTTACATGGATATAATGCATAATGGTGAGGTTTGGGTTTCTAGCATACCCATCACCCAGATAGTGAATACTGTACCCAATAGGTAAGTTTTTAACCCTTACCCCACTTCCACCCTTCCCCCTTTTGAGAACTCCATATTATCAATATACCATAACTCAGCAATTCTAAACATTTTTGGTCTCTGAAAACTTTATATTCTTAAAAATTACTAAAGATCCCAAAGAGATAGATCTATCTATCTATCTATCTATCTCTATGTATCAGAAATTAATCATGATACATTTAAAAATATATTAATTAAAAGTTAATCTATTTATAAGCCCCTCGCATATTAATATAAACAATACACTTTTGGTGAAAATTAAAATTAATATATTTTTCAGAATAAAAAGATTTAGTGAGAAAAAAATGGCATTACTTTATAAAATTTGTAACTCTCTTTAATGTTTGGCCTAATTGAGGATAATTGAATTCTCATATTTGCTTCTGCATTAAATCTGTTGCAGATAATGTTTTGGTTGCAGTAAATCTGGCCTAACACAGATATGGAAGTAGAAAAGGGAGGAGTTTTTTTTTTTTTTTTTTTGAGACGTAGTCTCACTCAGGCTGGGGTGCAGTAGCGCAGTCTCAGCTCACTGCAACCTCCGCCTCCCAGGTTCAAGCGATTCTCCTGCCTCAGCCTCCTGAGTAGCTGGGATTAGAGGCATGTGTCATCATGCCTATTTTTGTATTTTCAGTAGAGAAGGGGTTTTGCCATGTTGGTCAGGCTGGTTTCAAATTCCTGACCTCAAGTGATCCACTTGCCTTGGCCTCCCAAAGTGCTAGGATTTACAGGGGTGAGCCACCATGCTCCGCCGGGAGGAGTATTTTAATAGGCTTTTTAGATAATTGCAAATGTTCTTCTCCAACTACACTGAAACTCAAAGTGGTAGTTTTTTGTTTTTTGTTTTTGTTTTTGTTTCAGAGACAGCTCTCACTCTTGTCTCCCAGGCTGGAGTGCAGTAGTGTTATCATAGCTCACTGCAGCCTGGAACTCCTGGGCTCAAGCCATCCTCCTGCCTCAAGCTTCCCAAGTAGCTGGGATTACAGTTGCGTGCTACCATGCCTGGATAATTTTTTAAAACTTTTGAAGAGGCAGGGTCTCAGTATGTTAATGAGACTAGTCTTGAGCTCCTGTGCTCAAGTGATCCTCCCATCTCAGCCTCCCAAAATGCTAGGATAACAGACATGAACCACTGAGCCCTGCCAAAGTGGTAGTTTCTTTCCTCTTCTTCTTCTTTTTTTTTTTTTTTTTTTTTTTTTGAGACAGAGTCTCGCTCCGTCGCCCAGGCTAGAGTGCAGTGGCACGATCTTAGCTCACTGCAACTTCCGCCTCCCGGGTTCAAGCGATTCTCCTGCCTCAGCCTCCTGAGTAGCTAGGACTACAGGAGCATGCCACCACGCCCAGCTAACTTTTATATTTTTAGTAGAGATAGGGTTTCACCACATTGACCAGGCCGGTCACAAACTTCTGACCTCGTGATCCTCCCACCTTGGCCTCCCAAAGTGCTGGGATTACAGGCGTGAGCCACTGCCCCCAGCCGGTAGTTTCTTAAAGATTAGTTGCATTACAGAATTTGAAGCTACCTCAATAAACTTTTCCTACTTTGTTATATTAAATTCTATTGAGCTATCTTACACTTTGAATGAATCATTTACCCATATATGATTTTATAGCATCATGCATTAACCATTTATTTCAAATGTTGACATATTTTATATGATACTACAAAATTATATTAATATCAACACCAATCTTCCCAGAAAGTTATTAAATATTGGGATTTTGTCAAGTTCATAGGGGCAGATACATACTTTGCAAAAAAAATTCTTTTTTTTTTGAGACGTCTGGCTCTGTCACCCAGGCTGGAGTGCAATGACACGATCTCAGCTCACTGTAACCATTGCCTCCTGGGTTCAAGTGATTCTCCTGCCTCAGCCTCCCGAGTAGCTGGGACTACAAGTGCATGCCACCATGCCCAGCTAATTTTTGTATTTTTAGTAGAGACAGGGTTTCGCCATGGTGGCCAGGCTGGTCTGGAACTCCTGACCTCAAGTGATCTGCCAACCTTGGCTTCCCAAAGTGCTGGGATTACAGTGAGCCACTGTGACAGCCCGCTTTTCAAAGTTCTAATTTTCCTTTGAAAGCTCAAATTGTACCATTGTCAAGAAATATGGACCATTGCTTTCCTTGAATTGGCAAGTTCACTTCATTTATTTTTGAGAAAGTATCTTTCAAATACTCAGTTCTGTCATTTTATCTGTCAGTCATTTTTTCAAGAAAAATGTTACTCCACTATAGTTCAACTTCCAATTGAAACAATTGCAGAGTGTTTTTTCTTGAGACAACCCCTGAACTTCGAGATGCAGCAAAAATGCTTTTTTCATGCTTCCCATTTTGTCACATGAAATATTAAAACACAAGTACTCAAGAAGTCAAGATTTAATGAAATTGGTCATCACCTACACTGCTTCATTAAGGATATTCTTAAGTAAAATTTTTATTTTTTCAAATGAAACTGTGTGGTAGTGAAGAATATAATAACTACGAAGATAGTGGGAGCCATTACGTTGATTCATGCTAAGCACCATAAGTTTTACCTACCATTGCTTTTGCATTTGCAGTGGAAATGTCAAAACAATGAAAACGGTGAGGAATGTTTTTGTATTACTAAGAAAATAGCTTTCTTCTTATAGTCAACCACAGAAGTCTATGGGCCACATTTTAAGAACTGCTACCATTATTTATTTCACCTGTCCCACCTTGTTGAACACAAACTGTTTCTGGTCCTTTGCTGATACAAACATGTCTACAATAAATATCCTTAAATCAACATTTCTTGATATTCCATTTTCGTTATATTTTAAATTATTTCAGCTTCAAGGGTATTAAAAGAGCTACAAAATTCTTTTATTTTCTGTCATTCTTCTCTTGACTACCAAAGTATCTATTGACAGCAAGGATGATATCCTGTTAAAAGGAACAACCAACCACCTTCTGTTATTAAAATAGCATTCTTTGGCATATGAAGTTGTCAGTTGACCTGCATTTAGAGATTCATGGGATGAGTGGGCTTTATTCTATATAATTCTTTATAGAAAAAAAATAGAGAAATTTGAACAGAATTGTGCTATGATCCTCATCATTCTGGTGCTTTTGGAAATTTTCAGACAAAACAGAAAATGGAAGTTATTGATTTAGAATATCTGTTATTTGAGAATAACTGGATTGATGCAGAAACTAAAGTGCTGATAATAATCCATGTAGTCATTTGAAAAATCTTTTCTTAGGAATCTACTATGTTTATTACATTGTACCAATACCAGCCATTGCAGAGACAGTAGAAATGCACTGGGAACAGGCCCTGGCAGCAAGGAGCTTAACAACAGTAGTTGAAAAGCTTTTGCAAAGTCAACTGAAAAGATCACATCCACTTCTTTCAGTTTAAGAATCATGGAGAGTAATGTGTTAGTCCATTTTGTGATTCTATAAAGGAATATCTGAAGCCACATAATTTATCGAGAATAGAAGTTTATTTGGTTCAGAGTTCTGCGGAATGTACAAGAAGCATGGCACCAGAATCTGCTTCTGGTGAGGCCTCAGGAAGCTTTTACTCATGGCAGAAAGCAAAGACAGAACAAGAGAGATGCCAGGCTCTTTTAAATAATCAGATCTCATGTGAACTAACAAGGTGAGAACTCACTTATTACCACAAAGGTGGCATCAAACCATTCAGGAGAGATCCACCCCCTTGACCCAAAGCCCTCACACCAGCCCCCACCTCCAACAAGGGGATCACATTTCAACATGAGATTTGGAGGGGGGAAGTATCCAAACTATATCAAGTAGATTGAGCTTAGGCAATGCAAATATATGATCTTTCATCTTACTGATAATTAAGGTGACTATACAGTCCTGGGTTTACACTGGCTGCCTTAGCATAATTATCAATGGCAGACTGGGCATGGTAGTGTGCTCCAGTAGTCCCAGATACTTGGGATGCTGAGTCAGGAGGGTCGCTTGTGCCAACAAGTTCAAGCCTGCAGTGAGCTATGATCATGCCACTGTGTTCCAGCCTGGGCAACAGAAGGAGACTTTATCTCTAAAAACAAAAAGTATTATTAGAACCTCCCTTTAATTCTCAAAAGTGTCCCAGTTTGGACAACAAACTACACAGTCATGTACTAATAATAGACTTACAGTTCCTCTCTAAGTCTCATTTTATCATTCTACTTTTTATATAACCCTGGTAGAAAATTTTGGTAGAAAACTAACATTTACTAAATACCTACTATCTGTTGCATGTGCTTTCTATACAAATTTTATTCAATATTTACAACAATCCTATGGGAGTATTGTATCCTCACTTTACAGATAAGGACACTGAGACTCAGAAAGTGCAGGAACTTGCCTAAGACTACAAACAAACAAGTGGCTAAATTAGGATTTGTCTACTTCTGTCCACTATCAAAATCCATGCTACTTCCTCAATTTTTCAAAGGTGTTTCATGGAGCTGGCATCAAAATCACCTGGGTACTTATTTTGCAGACAGACTACAGGGCCTCACTCCAAATCTACTGAACCAGAATGTCTCACAGTAGGGCCTGATATCTGCATTTGCAATAAGCCCGTTAGGTGATTCTCAGGCACTGGAACACTTGAGGACCACTGCTTTAAATTATACTACCTCCAGAGCTCAGCCACCAATTATTTCTTCAAACAAAAGATATTTTTTTTCTAATATTCAAACTTGGTGGGTTCCAAAAGTAATAACTTTTGGAATAGATCCTACTTGGAAACTCCAGTTTTCTTAAATAATAACCAGGTAGTGTTTCTGTTGGCAACTTTGTACAATTGGTCTCTTCTGGTGATTTAACTAAACATTCATTCTCCCTGTGAACTGTTTCCCTTTCCAAGAGATTTTCATAGGCCCCTCACAAGGTTAAGTGGAAGCTTTTCTCTGAAAAAGCCAATTCTGTGTGTTCACACTGACATTTCAGCAATGGAAATTGTGGCTATATAGTCTCCCAACTTTAGCAAAGGACCCCAGGATACATTATTTTTCATATTGTTGAAAAACTAAAACAAGAATCAACTTTTCCTGACACTTATTACAGCAGAATCATTTAAAAGCTATTACTGAGTTTTTTTTTTTTTAGATCTATGGCTCTATGCCCACTGAATATATCCAATTCATATATTTTACATTACAGAATAATAAAGATTAACTAAGTCCATGTGATGTGACTTTTACAACACACTCCTGGCTTACAATTTAATAAATTTTGCAAGGCATATTTGTTCAAGCTTGACATGCCCTTGAATCTACAAACAGAATGTTAATGCCTACCTTCTGCAGTCTCTTATCTGTAAGAATATCTAAAATGCTCCAGATCACTGATGCTGTTGGGAAGTAGCCTCTACTTGTCTGTTATAAAATGCATTTCTAGATTTAAAATATAGTTTAGCATAGGTCAAGCTCTGATAGAAGCTTTTGCCTAGGAGGAAAGACTGAAGCAGCACCAAGTCAGGGCCCTCGGAAAAGTCTGCTACACAACCGGGTAGCATTATTACATCAAAACAAGTATTGAAGGAGGGTGAGAAACTCCAATCAAATCTGGGCCAGACTCAGTGGTCAGAGAAAACAAAATGGATCTTAGAGGTTTCAGGAACTCATCTTGTTCAGATTTTGAGGTATCTGCCCTCAGTAGCCATGGTAGGATTATCCAGTAAGCCTGGAAGCCCAAGGTGAGACCAGTGAGGAAGTCCTAATTCAATGAAAAACAGTCCCATAGAAACTAGCTGAGAAAGTTATGTAGGGCTGAAGAGTTAAAAGGAAGTAGGCCTAGTAGGTGGGCCAGGCAAGCATAGTCACCATGGTCACAAAGGTTAGGGGAGGCTGTAGCTCATGGCTTACATGGGCACTAGGCTTCTGTTCACCCAGCAGCGTAGAGGAAACACTGCTTTGAGATCTACTTGCAAGTGGGAGGAGATGGGGACCAGCCCTAATGCAAAACCTGTTTGGTTCTCATTGGTGTGTTGCTTTGGCTGGTCTAAATTTGGATATAATATCATCATTAATACCTGTAAATTTATTTGCATGTTTTAATACAGTCTCACTGGCTAGTGCCTTTGGGTTATCAATGTCCTACTGAGATTCATCATCAAGTACGGTAAATTTTGGAGTCTTTGTTGAATGCTTTATTGAGGCTGGAAGGGATATTATACCTAAAGTTGATGTCCAGAACCATCTGGACAGGTGAACCTTAGTTTATTGTATGCCAGCTCCAACAGATATTTTGATGTTTGAAAGCCTCTGGTTCATCTTGTTATGATAATAAGAATGTATATTTAATTGGTAGGAGCTCAGACTGATTCATGTCAAACTACAAGAGGACAACAATCAGAGTCCCTTGAAATAATAGCATGATTTCCTCCCTAGAATTCATCATTTATAAGCAAGACATTTATACTAATGGCTTGTGAGCAGTTTTAATTCCTCAGATATGCATATTTTATCTTGGCCATGCTATATGCAAGACTTCTGCAAACTATTTAAAAGAAGAAAATGTTTTAGCCAGAATCTATGCCTAATAGTCTGGAGTAAAATTTGAGAGAAATATAAAGCTGCAGCACTATGATAAAGTCATAGAAAGTGATTAAGAATCTTTAGACCAGAACCTACCTGGCTCTTTCAGGACTTTAGAACTTCCTTAATAATTATGCAAAACAGCATCAGTGCTTCTTGCTCCATCCCTCGTGTTAACAATCATAACGCTGTACATATAGGAGTGGTATCTGGGAATTTCCAGCAATAAATTTTGTAGTTCCCTCAGTTGACTTTCAGAAATTGTGGGCTTGAAACTTATCTGTGTTGATAGTATCGTGCTGGATGATGTGAGCAAGGGCTCAGCTGAAAGGATGTGACAATCTGGTAGGGATAGCGGTACTGAAGATGTTCCATTACACACCAAAAAAAAAGTGGAGTCATTCTTGGAGAGTTATTTACATGGACTCTCCCTGTTCTGCTTTAGATGAAAACTTTTAAAACAAATAAAAGTCATATGGATATTTTTGAGTGTGCTCTTACTCTGCTCATTTTGACACAACTGTTAAATACTGCAAGGAACTGTAAGTAGACTGATGTGACTTCTGCTACAGTGAATGAAATCACAAGCCTGTCTTCTATAATAGCCAGGGTCCAGCAGTAACAGCAGGGAGGACTATGAAGGTGCTCTTTCCAGCATAACCAGGCAAGAGTAGTATCACTAGAAGGAACTCCTCTAACACCACTTGGCATAGGTATTTCAACCAGCCTGTGCCTGGGGATCACCAGGACTGGAAAGATACAAACCAGTGATTCTTCTTGGATCCCAGCTACTGCTGAAGACATCTAATATTTCTATTTTTACTAATATACACAGACAGCTTTGAAAAGAGATCTTTCCCGCATTTTATAAGATTGCATTAGGTAAGCAGGAAAGTGTCATATAATCTGAGGACACTCTAGTTCACCATTATTACTGCACTCTATCTGATTTCCCATAGTTGTGCCATTGGTGATGGAGTGTGAGTTTAACCAATGGTGGCTTCTGTTTCAGTGCTGATACATGTTGTTCAAACAAAAAGAGTATTTGGATATAATGATTATTTAAAAATTGTTGTCGGACATTCTGGAATAAAGCAACTGACACTCAACTGTGCTGTCTTGTGGATTTAAGGGGAAGGGTATTCAGAAAAGTGGTTATGAATCTTTCTAAGAACATAGCTCTCATACTTGAGTCCTCAGAACACAGATTCATTAGACAGCCAACCCTAAGCAACAAGCAATGGTGAAGACGTGTCCAGCTTGCTAAGCCGCCTGGCTTTTCTCCATATGGGGAATTAGTCTGTCTTGTCTTTTGCTGAAAAGGATCACATTTCAGCTCAAAAGTAGCAACACAGATTTGGTCAAGGACTTCTCCCCCTAGCTTCACCCCACCCCCGAACCTACACACCCAGATGGGAATGTGGTGGTTTAGCAAATTGAATGCAAGTTCAGAGATTGCTTTAAACAACAAAAGCAACAATTTGATGTAATTTGCAAAAAAAAAAAAAAAGAGAAAGAGAGATACACACACACATACATATATACATATAAAGAAAGCAAGCAAGCAGCTAGTTGCAAAGTAATCAAAGAGCAAATAACACTGGAACCCAATTTGCCAATTGCTTCATGTCTAAGTAGAAGTCCAGAACCAGCTGGATACCACTGAAGCCTGCAAAGTTAACCTCCCATTTAACTCTTTTTTGATCTTAGTGCTTAATGCAGGCCAACATCTGCTCACACATTAACTGTGGAATATTCCAGATCAAAGAGCCTCTAATTATCTGAGATTTCTTCAGAACTTAAATTTCACTAGCTCAACTAGTAAGATAAAAATATATCTTAGGTATAAGCACCTGAATAAACCTGCTAGATATTCAAAGACAGCAGGATAGAGGAAGATGCCTGTAACAAATACTGTTCACACACATTTGTTTTCTACTTCACTTTAAAAGAATGTAGTAAAACCATTTTTCTTAACTGGCAGACATTAAAGGGTTTCACCTGAAAGTTACTAAAATATTACAAATGGTTCACTAAGGTACATATGAACAACTTTCACCTAAGGATGTCAAAGCATCTAACAAGATGGGGGGACATTAAATCAAGAAAAGTTTAAAATGGAAGTTCATTTTAGTATTAAGAATATAACATCCTGCATGTTATTTGGGTTATAGTCCCAAATATACTGGAATTGTAGGAAACCATGTCTTTGCCATACTTGTGTCTTGGACTCTGCCATAGTGCCGGCCTAGTACATGGTAGATGTTCAATAAATGTTTGTTGAGAGAATTGTAAAAAAAATAGTTCACAGGTCTCATTGCACTTCCACAAGTGTAAGAAAACTCGTTACTTATGGAATGCTTGGGGTCAAGTTTGACTGCTGGTTTATTGGCTGTTATTTTAAGTCATTTTATTATCCAAATTTAGCCAATATTTACCTTTAACTAAAGGCAGTTATATATCTTGCAAAAAATGATGGAAAAGAATAAAAAACAATTTAAATGACTGTTAAGTTTTTCATACACATTGTCATATCATAGTCTTATGAGAAACCCCACCATCATCTAACACGTTCTTTAACCTCTGCTTAAATTCTTCTAATAATAGAGAAGACACTATCTCACACAGTAACACATTCTGGTTATATAAAGATCCTCCTCATTTGGAAGTAAATTCTGCCTCCCGTAAATTAAATGCTTTGTTTCTATATGAAAGCCGTCTAACTTTATGAAGGTCCTTCAAATATCTGAAAAGCATTATTATGTGTTCCATTCCCTCATTCCCCCAAACTGAATATCCTCATCCAAAATAAACATTTGTAGTCCCTAAGACACGGTTTACAGACCCTACTCCCTATTTTAGGCATCTTCCAGTCTGCTTACACCATTTTTCTAATATGAAATACTAAAACCTGAAAAAAATTATTTTAGACCTTTTTTTCTATGATCATTGTCTTATACACTCTTGACTTATATTAAGCTTGATATTAACTGAAGCTTCGGAGATGTTTTTATGTCAGTTACCATTACACAACATCAGCCTATGCTTTATTTGTGTGACTAATTTTTGTTTGTTTCTGAGTTTAGGACTTTACATTTATTTATATTTAAAATTTTTCATCTCAATTTTTTTTTTGCATATTTCAAGCTATCATTATAGACTACTGAGACTTCTTCAGCCTTGAGTCTGTCATTCATATGACATATGTTGTATTAGCTTATCCTCTCCTAAACCAAAGTTGAAATGAATACTAAATAAACTCAAAATCAAGTCCAGGAACTTCTATCTGAATCCTATTTTCAGGTTCTCTAAGGCTCCATGCAGGGGAAATTTACATGTTCTATGTGCCTTTGAGCCAGAATTATCCTTGAGCATTTTGATGCCCAGAAATGACTAAATGTCTCAGGGCATTTGTTTGCTTTAGGTTAAGCTGGAGAAGTTTCAAATTGTGTAGTAATCTTTTTCTTTAAGCGATGGTATTTCATTTCAGCTTGAAGTCCTGTTTTCGAACGGAACCTTAGTAGATTTCTACCTTTCCTTTCCTTTTTTTCCATAATGTAGATCTCATTTCATGCTCCTCCCAATCTCTACCTCAACCTTACCTCAGAAGACTTTATACTGTTCTTAAGAGATCATGTTAATCCATCAAGAGTAAACACACTGGAGAGCAGGAACCCAAAGCCACCCGAGTGGAGAGACAGACACAAGCACAGAGTGAGACTGTACTTCACATCTGGAAATTCCCTCATTCCTCTTTTGCTGCTCTACTGTTGGTATTACTTTAACATGAAATGGAGCTGACAATTTGAACTGTGTAAATAGAAGCCCTTAACAAAATGTACCTCATAGTAAAATGATGGTTTAATGAAACCTACAGATTAGAGTTCTGCTTTAAGTCAACAAGGTGTTATTTTAACAAACTTCCAAGCTCTAAAGATGTAGAGCACAGTTTACAGGTATATGGCACACTCAAAGATCTGCTACCTACAGGCTCTGACTTGCAATCAGAGGCATTTATCTTATTTGGTTCAGGCAAGGCAGTATCAGGTGCAGCTAAGATCCTTTAAGAAAAAGAGTTGGAAAACTCATAGCTTGGCCACTCCCTTGCTCTGTGACTTTGGGCAAGTCATTTCATCTATGTGGGCTTGTTTCAACTTTTATAAATCGAGGTGGTGCTGAATTATATCATCCTGAAGTCTCTTTTAGTTTTAACATTATCATTCTTCTAAATATGTTTTTATGCATGAAGTTTACAATGTTTGTGATTATAAAATGATTCATTAAAGAAAAATTAGACAAAATAAAGAGAAAAATCTTTGTAAAATCACTACCTAAAAACTGCTGTTAATATTTTTGTTTATTTTTCTAATTCTATTTTCTATACATATTTCTACATAATATTTAAGTACTAGACACATGTATGATGTTTGTTCACCTAGGGCTCCTCCAGCCTGGGCGTACATACCTTACACCAATGTGACCGGACCTCTCTGGCCACTGGATACAACCACAGTCCATTCTAACTAACGAAGGACCTAGAAGTTGTGGTTTGACTGAAACAAACAAAAAAATGAGCTAGACCACTCAATTTAGGAATTTGGAATTGGGAGACTGAGAGATGAAATCAATTAGTAATGAGGCTGAGATGAGCAGATGCATGATATAATTGAAGCTAAGGAAAACATTTTGGACAATGTGCCCGCTGAAGTTATGAAGACAGCAAAATTATGTTTAAGGGAAGGAGGTTGAAGTGGTAGAGTGAGAAATATGGAGTAGGCATGCAGGTAGAAGCCTTGACAGGAAAATCTAGTAGCCTGAGAGAAGACCTTTGTGCTTAGTAATTTTCCAGATTCAGTTTCCAAGAGGTCTGTTATTGACTCCTGTGCTTTGATTCTCATGAGGCTCCTGAAACATACTTAAAATAAAAGTCCTTTTATCTGAGCGGGGTCAATGTTACTGGCAACCAAAAGAGACCTGACTCAATTTAAATTTGAATTAAGATATTTTATTGATGATTATAAACTATTTCCCCAAGTTATTACATATGCTTTAGATGCATAGTTTTCAATGGCTAAATAATAATGTATAGTAGGATACATTATATAAAGAACCTGAGTGTCAGTGAAGCTGATTACTGTTAATGCTGTTAGAATTATTCCCTAGGTATTAAAAAATCTAAGACCTGAAGTTACCCAGAGGATTCTGGAAAAGCTCCAACATTCTTTCAAGAATCCTTTTACCTGCTAGAAGAGGCAACACACACACACACACACACACACACACACACACACACACACACACAGCTACACAGCTTAATCATTCTTTCAAGAATCCTTTTACCTGCTAGAAAAGGCAACACACACACACACGCACACACACACACAGCTACACAGCTTAATCAGTAGAATTTAACATGGATAAATTCAGCCTGACTTCAAAAAAATCTCGAGTGCTGTTTTCCTAACTTAATCCATTACAAATGTTTTTATGAGGGCACAGTGGGTATTCTCCAGCTTCCCCATGCCATCATAATTCAGACAGAGCCCCACCCTAATCTGATCTTAGTCATGGAACAAGAAAATCTGGGACAAAGGCCACTGTGAAGTTCAGATGAGCAAGTTAGGCACACAGGAACAACATGTGCACCTAAACTCTAAATCCACATTTTCTAATAGAAAGATTAAAAGAATATACAATGCCATAATTATCTTTATAAGAAAGGTCAAAATGGTATCAGCTCATAGACGAAATGGTATCAGCTCAAGCAATGGCATCACCAATGCTTGGTAAAGCCTCCAGCAAGCCATGAGGAATCTAGGCTCCATTAAAAACATGATATCAAATGTTGCCCTTTGCAAATCTGGAAATTGCTTAAGAAAAAAAAAAAAATCTATCCCCTTCCCTCACACAAATTTTATACACATGGTAACTTGAAAATTCTCCACTAGCTCTTCTTTCCCAACATGATAGGACAATTAGTCTTTCTAATCTGGGTTTCTCCCAAAGCCCTGAACTCACACCAATTCTCTCATAAAATTACTCCAATTCGGTATTATTGAATACAGCAGAGACACACTCACAGTTTTAATTAAAGAGGCAAAGGCATCTCTGAATAGGAAGTAGTCTTTGAGTGCTTTGCTTGTCTTTTTCAGGGAGTGGATGACAGACACTGTGATGTCGCTAAACCACCTATAAGGTAAGGGATGTAAAGTTTTTGTGTTTATTTATATGATTTAGAATTTATCGTGGACCTATTTAAGTGTTAATTCTGAGAAAATAGAAAATGAAGTATGTAAAAGCATTTTATAAAATTTAAATATACTTACACTCCAAATGGAGTGCTTTGCTTTTGCTGGAAGGACAAATAGGCAATGAGGTCTATTGAACAGATCAGACTGAGAGATGACAGCGTGCTGGCAGCCCTCACAGCCCTTGCTCGCTCTCAGTGCCTCCTCGGCCTCAGTGCCCACTCTGGTCGCACTTTAGGGGCCCTTCAGCCCGTCACTGCACCGTAGGAGCCCCTCTCTGGGCTGGCTGATGCTGGAGCTGGCTCCCTTGGCTTGCGGGGAGGTGTGGAGGGAGAGGCGGGGGCAGGAACCGGGGCTGCATGCAGCACGTGTGGGCCAGTGCCAGTTCTGGGTGGACGTGCGCTCAGCGGGCCCCACACTCAGAGCAGCCGGCCGGTGCTGCTAGCCCCAGGCAGTGAGGGGCTTAGCACCCATGCCAGCAGCTGCGGAGAGTGCGCCGGGTCCCCCAGCAGTGCTGGCCCGTCAGCACTGCCCTTGAATTCTCGCTGGGCCTCAGCTGCCTCCCCGTGGGGCAGGGCTCGGGACCTGCAGCCTGCCATGCCCAAGCCTCCCCCTGCCGCCGTGGGCTCCTGTGGGAGGCCTGAGCCTCCCGGAGCAGCGCAGCCCCCTGCTCCACTGCACCTGGTCCCATTGACTTGGGCTGAGGAGTGTGAGTGCACTGCGAGGGACTGGCGGCAGGCAGCTCCACCTGCAGCCCCGGTGTGGGATCCACTAGGTGAAGCCAGCCAGGCTCCTGAGTCTAGTGGGGACTTGGAGAACCTTTATGTCTAGCTAAGGGATTGTAAATACACCAATCAGCACTCTGTGTCCAGCTCAAGGTTTGTAAATACACCAATCAGCACTCTGTGTCTAGCTCAAGGTTTGTAAATGCACCAATCAGCACCCTGTATCTAGCTCAAGGTTTGTAAATGCACCAATCAGGGCTCTGTGTCTAGCTAATCTAGTGGGGACTTGGAGAACTTTTGTGTGTAGCTCAGGGATTGTAAACACATGAATCTGCACCCTGTCAAAACGGACCAATCAGCTCTCTGTAAAATGGACCAATCAGCAGGATGTGGGTGGGGCCATATAAATAAAAGCAGGCTGCCAGAGCCAGCATTGGCAACCCGCTCTGGTCCCCTTCTGCACTGTGGAAGCTTTGTTCTTTCGCTCTTTGCTGCTCATGGGTCCACACTGCCTTTATGAGCTGTAACACTCACAGCGAAGGTCTGCAGCTTCACTCCTGAGACCAGCGAGACCACGAATCCACCAGAAGGAAGAAACTCCGAACATGTCTGAACATCAGAAGGAACAAACTCCGGACACATCACCTTTAAGAACTGTAACACTCACAAGGGTCCACGGCTTCATTCTTGAAGTCAGTGAGACCAAGAACCCACCAATTCCGGACACAAGACTGGAACATCACAGACTTGGGTTCAAATCCCACTGCCTGTTTAACCCTTGGCAAGGTCCTCACCACTTCATGTTTTGATTTCCTCATCTAAAATATAGCATCATTGATGAACTATGTATTTAATCAAGGTTAAATGTATTCTGTATTAGTGATGCCTCCCTTACTAAGTTAATGAGAATATTAAATGATATTTGCAATGTGTCTGCCATAAAAAGTGGTCTTAATGACATCAGCATTAGATAGGAATATCTCTGGTGTTCCATAATTAGCTATGAGCTGGCTATTGTTTTCCAGTATTATAAAAACTTTCCTGGAAAGTCTTCCAATCAAAATATAAAAAGTGCAATTGATTTTATCTCTTTTCTAGATATTTTATTTCTAGCTATACAGAGTATACATCTCTTTAGAAAGCCCAGGAGACTGAATAAAACATCAGAATTAATGTTTTAAAGGTTCAGTATGGTGACCAGAGTCAAAATGCATATTAAAAATTCACAAGTTGTTCTGTGTACTGTCAACCTTAAAGAGATTTAGAAAACATGTTTTTTTGTTTGTTTCTTTGTTTTTAAGATAAAGTCTCACTTTCACCCATGCAGGAGTGCAGTGGTGCAGTCTTGGCTCACTGCAACCTCTGTCTCCTGGGCTCAAGTGATCCTCCCGCCTCAGCTTCCCAAGTAGCTGGGACCACAGATGCACATCACCACACTGGGCTGATTTTTTTTTTTTTTTTTTTTTTTTTTTTTGTATATTTGGTAAAGACCAGGTTTCACCCTGTTCCCCAGCTGGGCTCAAACTCCTGAGCTCAAGTGATCCCCGCCCGCCTAGGCCTCTCAAAGTGCTGGGATTACACATATGAGCCACTGTGCCTGGCTTAGAAAATATGATTAAATATAGAGTCTATAATAAACTCTATATTTAGTGGTCTTAATGGGCATCCTTGTCTTGTTTCCCTATGTATATAGTTTATAAAAAACTCAATACTTAATCATCATCCAAAGCTTGAGAATAGCCACCTGATGGCATAAATTTAAGTTGTCTTGAATATACACTCTGATTAGTGGTAGTTATGGGTGGGTTTTTATGGAAAATAGAAGTGGTAGTTCTTAAGGTGTTTACCAAGAATTTATATTAAGTTAATATAAACTATTAATTGACTATATATTGGTTTTTGTATCACAATTTCCAGGAACATGAAGATAATGAGTGAGGCAGTTAGGAGGAAAAATGGCTTTAAATAATTGTTCCCAGGCATGAATGTGGGGCTGAAGTCCCATACTCACTTCTCTGGGCCTGGTAAATTTTGTATATCTCAGTGCAGACTGCTCTGAGCTATTTTTCTTTTCTTGGTATCGTAAACTAACAGGGAATGAATTAACTTTCCAATGATAATATTAGAAAAAATGGTATAATCTGGAGGAAAACATCAACCTCAATCCTCACCTCATCCTACACATCAAAGTCATTCATCCCATAATTGTTTCAGTGTTAAATGTAAATACTGACATCACAGAAAAATTGGAAGTATAGAAGGGTGATGATATTGGGTCACTCCAATAAACACACACACCCACCTGTAGATTTAACCATATAGAGACAGAGATATATAGATATACTTATTTAGATGTCAAAAAGTATAATACAGCAGAAGCATAATACAGTTGGCCCACCCACCATTTAATGAAAGTAGCAGTAGCATCTCTGAATATGAAGTCTTCTTTTTTTGAGTGTTTTGCCTTATCTTTTTTCAGGGATATAGAAGGCCAACTGTACTACACTATTTTGTACCAGGGACTTTAGCATACAGCATTGACCTCAGCTTTTACTATCTGCAGGGTTCCTGTTACCAATCCCTGCAGATGCTGACGTATGACTGTGACAGAATTGACCCAAGTTACCTGCGTCACTGGGAGGGGCCCAGGGGAAGGTTCCCCAAACCTCACTGTATTATATGTGTGTCTAATGCTATATATTTGGTTAAAAAAATTTATTGCCTAGACAGAAGAGACCTTTTTTTAGTCTAAGTTTTATAAGTTTCTATATCCACCTCCTAGAAAGCCTACAAGTTTCTATATCCACCTCCCAGACTCTAAAGCAGCATTAAAATAAAACCTAATTTTTAAATCTCAACCAATTCATCTTTTACGCCCAGTGAGAAACATTTGCGTGTATATCATCTTCATAAAGTTTTATGAAAGCCTTAAAAGATAAAACAGACAATAGGGGAAATATTTGTTTAAAAATATGACAGGATTATTTATATTTATTACGTGAGTTTAACCTAAATAATAAACCTGGGCTTTTCAAACTCCTGGTAAGTCCCATCCTACCCCAAGGACTCATCCAAACAAAACACAAATCAAATTCCATGCCCTTGAAGAGCACTATAGACATTTTATTAAAGACTTTTGTTTTGTTTGGAGGAGCAGAGGTATTAATAGCAGGAAATGAGATTTCACTGCATGAAACACAGTAAAATTTATTAAAAATCCTCTTTGCCCATCCCTTTCATCAAAGCCTCATTAATCAGAGCTGCTGCTCATACTCCTTATCATCTTGTCCCCAAACCGGGAACAAGTAGCCCATCCTGGCTTTTTTTCTTATCTTCCTCTTATCCCTCTTGCTAAGTAGCTCCAACCTCTTGCTGTTTTCATAAATATTCCCCTAGCCCCCAATCAGGTATCTCTATATTTCCACATCTTATTTTTTTAAAATATATGTCCGTGCTTTTTCTTATGTTTATCAATTTAGCCTATACTCTCCCAACGCCGCCTCACTCCAGTCAGCAGAGTTCAACATTCCTCCTTATGAGCAGAGAAATGAGGAACAGAAAAGAGAGAAAGGGAAAGGTGGAGAGATTACAAAACAATTCCACAATTAAACAAATATATGATTTAATGTATTTTTATTTGATCCCTGTCACATATATTTTTTAAAAGTCAGTATTAAAATACTAACGTTCAAATAGAAGAATGGATCAAGGAAATGAACATGTATTATACAGATGCAGACATATAAAAAACAGCCATGGGAAAAAATAAACCCCACTACTAAATAAATAATAACAAATGAAAACAATGAGATTTAATCTATTGAACTAGCAAAGATTAAAAATTACAATATTCAGGCTGGGCACAGTGGCTCATGGCTGTAATCCCAGCACTTCGGGAGGCCAAGGCATATGGATCACTTAAGGTCAGGAGCTCAAGACCAGCCTGGCAAACATGGCGAAACCCCATCTCTACCAAAAATACAAAAATTAGCTGGATGTGATGGCCCTCCCTAGTAGCTGGGAGGCTGAGGCAGGAGAATCACTTGAACCTGGGAGATGGAGGTTGCAGCGAGCCGAGATTGGGCCACTGCACTCCAGCCTGGGCAACAGAGTGAGACTCCTCTGTCTCAAAAAACAAAAAAAAAATATATATATATATAATATTCGGTGCTGATGGAGGTATAGTGAGATTGGCATTCTTATATATTGCTAGTAAAAACATAGACTGAACATACTTTTAAAAACTAATTAGGTAATACGTATTGTAAAATTTTGTTTCTAACCTTTGTTATTCATTTCTAGGAATAATTATAAGGCAGTAATCAGAGAAACATACATAGATCTATGCATAAGTATATTCATCATTTATTTTAACATTATTTATAATGACAAAAATTAGAAGCTGCCAAAATGTCCGGAATTAGTTGTTGGTAAAAATAACTTAAGCTATAGTAATACACTCAAATATTAGTTATTAAAATTGAGATCTTTGAAATCTATTTAGTGACATTGTAAAATGCTCATGAAAATATGAAGCTAAAATGAATTAGGTAGAAAACTACATATGCTGAATTATCTAAGTTATATAACACAAATGTATGCACACATGGAAAGAAAATACAACAAAATATTAACTATGGTTATCTTTGGATTGTGGAAATTTTCGTTTCCTTTTTGACCTTCCCTGAATTTTCCAAATTACCCACAATGAGGAAAAATAAAGTATTACTTCCATGATCAGAAAAAGAGTTTTGTTTTTTAAAAAAAACAAGAAAAGACATCCAAATTCTATTGTAAATAATCAAATAACATTTCTATTTGTCATTAATTAACATTCCAAACTCATGGATGAAACTTAAAGATTAAATTTCTTGTCCCTGGAAGAGACTTTCTTGAAGATAAAATATACCACTGTGGTCCTGGGTAATTTGATAAAGTTGGTGGAGATTAGGGAAAGAAGTGGGAAGAGAAAATTACAGAACATAATGAGAGTTGTATGGTTTCATGAAAAGCCTTAGTTACTTATTCTAAATGATAAAGTATTTAATTATTAGAAGCCATTAAAGATGAATTACTATTATATTTATATTTTCCTATTTGAGATATTTAGTAGGTTTTCTAAAAACAACTTTAAAATAGATTATCTCCACAATTTTATCAACAAATGGTAACATCTTTCTTTGGTATTCTTGGGTTGTTTTTATCTTTTTTTTTTTTGCATGACAATAGACAACAAATTATTGTTGAGCACCTGATACTAAGAATAGGATTTGATCTTGACCAGATATGATTGCTCAGCACACAAGCCTTCTGGACATGTCAATTACAAATTGCATGCAGAATCATAGAGCTGAAAGTTAATGTTAGAGAAGGAACTTGGTTGATTTTTGAATATCATAGCTTAATCTAATCATCCACTGTTTTATTCAGGCTTCCCATCTTCCCCTGGAAGAGCTAGGTAGGAAGATTAAAATAGTTAAGAATAAATCCAGGCCGGGCGCTGTGGCTCATGCCTGTAATCCCAGCACTTTGGGAGGCCGAGGCGGGCAGATCATGAGGTGAGAGATCGAGACCATCCTGGCTAACACGATGAAACCCCGTCTCTACTAAAAATACAAAAAATTAGCCGGGCGTGGTGGCAGGCACCTGTAGTCCCAGCTAGTCGGGAGCCTGAGGCAGGAGAATGGCGTGAACCCGGGAGGTGGAGCTTGCAGTGAGTGGAGATCACACCACTGCACTCCAGCCTGGGCAACAGAGCAAGACTCCGTCTCAAAAAAAAAAAAAAAAAAAAAGAATAAATCCATCTTCACCATTAGAAAGCCATCTCAGAGTTTGCCCATTCATAGAAAGTCCTGAGGACAGTATCTTAATTTATCAAATATATGGAGTTCTTCTGTCCTTAAAAACATCCCATATGGATGGGTTTGAAAAAAGAAAAAACACCTTCTCAGAGAATTCTTGGAGTACTATCTACCAGTACTAGTATTCCTGGAGTACTATATTTTAGGGTATTTCCAGAACTGAACACCCCCGCAACAGCCAATAATGCCTCTGGGGAAAACCCGAATAGCCAAATATGAGTTAAGAGTTCCTCTTGGGAAGTAACTTCTAACATTATAGAGCCCCCACCCTACTGTTATGCTGGACTCCATTCTAAAGCAGTTATGTCCACTTTGGTCACTCAGGGTGATTTGGAGCCAACCACCACATAAAGCAACTCAGCTCAAGGGTGACTACGCTTGTTGAAGTTTACTCTAAAAAAAAAAAATTGTATTATAAAATATAATGCATTTACCAAAAAGGGCATAAAATCTGTATGCACAGTTTAATAAGTCGTTACAAAGGAACACCCATATGGCTATCAACCAAATTAAGAAGAACATTGTCAACACCCCTAGAAACACCCTGTGAAGCCCTTCCTTGTCACAACCCACTCCCTGAGTTCATTTGAAACACTACCTATCCAGCCCCAGCAAAGATTCTTGTCTGGGATTTTATCAGCACTGAAGAAGTGTTAGAAAGACTTTCCCAAAATAGTCCTTACTGTACAGCACATGGGACTTTTTTGGCATTTAATAAGAAAGCTGCTAGTATTTTCAAAAATTTCTCATTGATCATAGGAAATAACTGTTTTCCAGGACATAATAGGCATAGATGTTCCAGAGGACAGCTTGCTTTAGCAATTTTAAATACTTCAACTTGCTTTTTAATGATTATCTCTAAAAGGACATTTTAAGAAATTTATATTTCCCCTTCTGAATTCTATCACTTAGCTATTAGATGCTTAGTATTTTTCCTATCAACCTGCATGTATATGCATATGCATGTATGTGTATAAAAACAGATGTTAATTGCTTGTGTGCCATATTTGTAACTAATATTTTCCCCAGCTTGCTGTTTAAGAAGGCATAGAAGTTCTTAATTTCATTTAAATAGAACATATTGACCTTTTCCTTTGTGATTTTTTCCAATGACTTTGAAATAATTTGAATGGACATTTCCAAACATACACAAAAGTAGCAGGAATATTATAATAAACCCACATGTCTTACTACTTGGCACAATAACTATCAACATTCTGCAATTCTTCTTTCATCAATTCTCTCCCCTTTCCCCAGGATTCTTTTGCTGAAGCATTTTAAAGTAAACCTCAGATATAATGTTATGTCATATATAAATACTTCAGAATATGTCTCTAGTGGATAAGAGCTTCTAAAATACAATAAACACACTCATCAACATTAACAGTAATTCCTTCATGTCTGATATCCAATCAGGCTCAGTTTTTTCTGATTTTTTTTTTTTTTTCGAGACGGAGTCTCGCTCTGTCACCCAGGCTGGAGTGCAGTGGCACGATCTCGGCTCACTGCAAGCTCCGCCTCCTGGGTTCACACCATTCTCCTGCCTCAGCCTCCCAAGTAGCTGGGACTACAGGCGCCCGCCACCACGCCCGGCTAATTTTTTGTATTTTGTTTAGTAGAGATGGGGTTTCACCGTGTTAGCCAGGATGGTCTTGATCTCCTGACCTTGTGATCCGCCCACCTCAGCCTCCCAAAGTGCTGGGATTACAGGCATGAGCCATCACGCCCGGCCTCCTGATTTTTAAAAAATGTCATTTCAGAATTGGATTTCTGAATCCATATTAAAACAGGATCCATGTGCTATATTTGGTTGGTATGTTATTTTAAGTTCTCCCTCTTTTTTCTATTCCAGGCCATTTCATTGTTGAGGAAACTGGGTCATTTATCCTAAAGAATATCCGCTTTCTGGGTTTGGATGCTATATCCTTGTGATGTCATTTACTATATTCCTTTGTCACTAAATTTTCAGTCAAGTCGTAGTCAGATTTACAGATTTGATAAGCTTCAGGTTTAATATCTTTAGGCAGAATACTTCATAGGTGGTACCATAAACTTCCTATTGCATCATGTCATGAGACACATAATTTCTGAGTGTTCCACATTTAGCAATGTTAAAATTAATTAGTGATTTCAGGTATTGTCAGCCTGATGTACCCTTTACAAAATTCCCAAAGAGCTAATGGTTTTAATAGGCATTAATTGTTGCCTAGATCCTTTAGCACCCTAGGGCTCCAACATTTTTAAGCTAAGAAAGTCTTACTCTATTAAAATATTAGATCATTAAACAATCACCAGTATTTTTTCCAAAATGTTATTTATTTATTTATTTATTAACATTCAATTCTTGGAATTCATTTTGGTGTACAAGGTTAAATGAAGATTTAAATTGATTTCTTCCAGAAAGGATGTGTCCCAAGAAAGTCTGAAGACAAGTAGTGAAAATGGCCTTTATCTAGTGAATCACCCATCTAGTGATGGAATTCTGACAAATTCGTGTTTTTCTAGGGGGAATCCTAAACTGTTTTCTAAACATTTAATAATTTTCCCAACGCTCTCGGCATCCTGGCATTAGAACTTTGATTAGAGAGTGGTTTCATTATTTACAGAGACCCTACAGTAAGACTCAGTCTGAGTGAATAGCTGAGAAAATTGGGTGTCTGTTGTGTCCTCTTACAGTGAGGAGGACTTCTATGCCAGAATGGAAAACTACACTTTTGTGATTACTCAGGGTTTTGTTGAATCACTAAGTTTTTGAATCTTGAAACTGTCAGCTTTTTATTTCTGCAAACCATCATTTTGCCATTGAGGGAAATAACCTTGAAAAATCTGTACACATGACATACAACTCAGACTTAAGCAGAAGTAGTTACATTTCCTTTTCCCCTTCTTTAAGAAAAAGAACACATTCACCTGTTTCCAAGTGTTGGCACTTTGTGCCTGCTCCTTAAGTTGGTAGAAATGAAACTTATTGTGAAAGTAATTATTTGGGCCATTTCTTTTCTACCTTAGGAAAAATCAGTATCAGATGTTTGGTTTCAGTCAGGGAAAAAAAAAAAGAAAAGAAAAGAAAAGAAAAGCTGTAAGACTTATTATGAATGGTTTCCCTGACTCCAAAAATTTACATTCAAATTAATGCTAGGTTAGTCTTCAAAAATTTTAATCACATTATGTTTTTGCTCAAGAACTATCTATAGTTCCCTACTGCTTACCAAATCAAATTCAAATTCATGTTCTCTCACTATAGATCCCTCACCACTTAGCCAGGCTTTCTTCTCCCACTCATTTTTCAGAATTAACTCTCCAATCTTGTCACTCTAGTCCATTCTCTGATCTGTATGCTTTTACACTTGCCAATCCCTAACCTAAATGCCTTTCTTCCAATTCAGATTTTAGCCTTTTTAAAAATCTAGACCAAGTTTAATCTCATCAAGAAGCATTTTCCTGATGGTGGCCCTTACAGATCTTTCTGTCCTTTAAATTATGCCTTTCAGAAACAGAATGTTATCATTTAGCATATATTTTTTTCTTTTACTGTTTACAGTGTATTGGTTGTCTAACTAGATTGTCTAAGCAAAAATGATATGACATAGGACTTTACTTTTAGACATTATTAAATTGAAATTCCTATGAAATTTTAAAGGGGGTAATTTTGATGGTGTGCTTATCAAATCCACAAATGACATGATTCTAACAGGGTGGCAGATTTCAAAAATGACAGTTTTCATGTCTTCCTACATGTAGGACCTTGGAAAGTGATTTTGAATGTTCTTCCATCAAGAGATAGAGTTTATTTTTCCAACCTTCTATTTCGCTGGCCTTGGGATTTATTTTGGCCAATACAGTGTGGGGCAGGTGAAGATATGCCTGTCCTGAGCTGAGGACTCAGGGGGCCTTCTTATTTCATTTGCTGTCATGGGATTCCCTCCCTTTCCAAGGCTAGCCTGTTGAAGAATGAAAGGTCACGTAGAGCTGAGACTAACCATCCCAGCTGAGGTTCTTCTAGACCAACCAGCTCCCACCTGACCACAGATGCATGAGTGAGCCCAGTCAAGTCTAAAAGGACATTGAGCTGAGCCCAAACTAACTGCTGACACATGGAATTAGAAGCAAAGTTGCTATTTTAAAATTCACTAAGTCTGGGGTGGTTTAATATATGGCAGAAGTTAATGGATACAAAGGGAATATAAAAAAATGTCAGATGGCAGAATCTCAATCCTAAAAGATTTCAGCATTCTAGAATAATAAACCACACAATTAAGACAAAAATAACTGTGATAAGTGCAAAGCTCTAAATTCAAGTTTAAAAAAAATCAACTTGTGATATAGGAAAGCAGAGATAGAGCTTGCCAACATATATGCAAAACATTTAGTCACTTTGATTGACCACAAGCATCTAACTCAACCTTGTGTTTCCATTCTTCCAACAAAACTAATTCTACATAAAAAGTAATTTTATACTGTGTGAATTTTGTAAGAGGCTAAAACAGAGTCAGTCCAGAGGGCAGTTACCATGATGCTGAAGGGCCCAGAAACCATCTCATATAAGGAAAATTGGAAGGCGATGAACTGTAAATCCAGTAGAAAGACTGAAAGGGTTGAGCGGGTTAGGTAGCTACCTTCAACTAATTTAAGAGTTGCCATGTGAAAAAGGGATTGGACATGTTTAGTGTCGACCCACTAAAAATTAGGACCCATGAATAGAAGCTATAAGAAGGTAAATTTAAGGTCAACATAGGAAGGAAGCTGAGTTAGAGAAGCTGCATTTGTATACTGTTTATGAATATAGACCATAGTGTCAAAACCAGGTCCTCTACTTACCAGCTATGTGTTGTTGGGTAAGCTGCCCAACCTTGCTAAGCATCAGTTTTCTCATCATTAATTCCACTAAAATGGAATTAATAACTATACCATTTTATAAGGTTGTGATGAAGATCAAATAGGATTTTTGAAGATACACTTAACTCAGGGCCTGACACATAGTAAGCACTCAATATATTTATTATTATTCATAATAAGATCTGTATAAATGTGAAATGAGCTGCCTCACAAGGCAGAAAGTTCCCTATCACTGGAGATATTTACAGGAGGATTGGCAGATGTTTGTAGAACAGATTTAAGCAACAGATGGGAAGTTAGAGTAGGTGACATTTAAATGACCTTCCAGCACTGAATAAGTCTGTCTGTATCCCTTAAGACTGGAATAACTTCTTTAGTATGTTTCAAAATACCTAGCACTATCGATCAAATGATATGCATCTAATACAATTGATAAAACTTTGTTGGTTATATCATTATAAATGTGGTTTCCCCATAGTAAGAGTTGTTCCATGCCGAAATGAAAGTATGTGAGGATTTTGTTTTTTTTGTATCTCATATTCTCTAGAAGTATATCATTAAAATTTGTTTTTGTAATGATCAGTTTTGACTAAAACCCAAAACTACAATTTTAATGCAATAAGCTCTTCTTTGTGTGGTGTTTAAATTCATAGGTGCAAAGCTCTTATCTTTTCATACTTGGCATTCCCCTACCAGAATGCCTAACTTTAAACAGGTCAGATATTTTCAAGGTACAGGAAGCCTAGGTTTCTTCTGTGATTGGTCTCATATCAAAAGTCAAGCTGGAGTCAGTAACCATTTTTCCTTCTCTTTATACATACAGCATCTGGAATTGCTAATCACATTTATCACTCTTGCCTACTAAAGGCACAGCAGGCAGTTCTAACTCCCATTGCAGTTCTCTTTAATAAAATAGATTGGGTAGAATTGCCTAAATTGTTTAATATGCCTGTCTTCCTCAATTATCTCATTGTTATCAGTTAATAGAGAGGAATTCACACTGGCCGAGGCTTGAGTCTCTGTGGTCTTAACTGATAAAAATCTTTCCTTTCCTTAAGACGAGTTTTAGCATAGTAATAGGCATTAATCATCTGTAAGGAAAAGAAGTGTTTTGTTTTCCTCATTAATGAAGTTAAGAGTCTGGTGCTCTGGCTGGAGAATGAAAAAATATACAAGTGAGAAGAAGAGTTCTGAAGTCTAGGTTTGAATGAGCTCTGCATTCTCAGTATGTGGTGACATGAATAGAAAAGGTATTCACAGGCACAAGCAGGATTTCTGGACCATGCCGTGCCTAGTATGTGCCACACATTCAAGACAAAGATTAGAGACACACTCATTACTCAGAGGAGACAATTACATGCTATTTCAACTGAGTGAGAACAATGCTGTAATAAAAGAAAGTGCAAGGTACAGTTTTAACCCAGAACAGAGGTTCTAGCAGTGGAGGAAAAGAAGCGGAGGTGAATTGTAAGATAGATTTTTTTGAAAGAGAAAGGAACTGGACAAGAACAAGCAGAAGGAGCAGGGTGAAAAATGGCACCAAGTTGTGAAGTTGAGACTGGGGTACAGCATTGGAGGCAATGGGCAGTGGGCACTGAGGCCAGGGGTAGATACATCCCACATGGCTCCCTCTGCCATCCAGAGATGTGGACCAACTCAGAAGCCAATAGGATGCCATTCCACATCTTAGTGGAGAAAGTAAGTTGATCATATTTACAACTTGTATGCAGTGTCCAGATGAGAGACGATGAGGGCCATAAATAGAGATTTCATAATGAGGAAGGAGACAGCGAGATGTTAAGGACCAAGCACCATCTGAATTTGGTGGCTAACTGAATGCACGAGAAGGAAGGAATTGTGGATGACACCCAGATATCTGGCCTGAATTGCTGGGTAGAAGATAGGACCATTCAGTGAGGGAGAAACAGAACATTTGTAGAGCACGAGAAGCAGAAGGGAAAGAGAAGCTAACTAGTTTAGTTCTGAACAGGTTGAGTAAATGAACCAACAGAATAAAGACAACTGCTCAAAGGGAGAGAGTTGACTTACATACACACACAAAAAACACAACCAGCACTTTGGGAGGCCAAGGCAGGTGGATCACCTGAGGTCAGGAGCTTGAGACCAGCCTGAACAACATGGAGAAACCCCGTCTCTACTAAAAATACAAAATTGGCCAGGTGTGGTGGCGCATGCCTATAATCACAGCTACTCAGGAGGCTGAGGCAGGAGAATTGGTTGAACCCAGGAGGCAGAGGTTGTGCTGTGCCAAGATTGTGCCATTGCACTCCAACCTGGGCAACAAAAGCAAAACTCCATCTCAAAAAAACAAAAACAAAAACAAACAAACAAACAAAAAACACAAAGTGCACCAGGGATGGAACACTGGGTAACACAACATTGGAGGTATCGTAAGAGAGACCAAGAAGGTCAGATGAGAATTAGAATGGTCTGCTCTCATAAAACCCAAGAGAGGAACAACTTTCCAGAAGAGGGCAATTGAGTCAAATGCTGTGAAGATCAAGTCAGAGAAGAATTGGAATGTATTCTCTGGGTTTGGCAGTTAGGGGTTTCCTACCAATCCTGGCAGGATCACCTTCACTGGTGCTGTGAATGAAGGAAACAACTAACTTCCTTTCACAAAGCATAAGAACATTTTCATTTTCTCCTTTCTCTCTCTCCCTGTTTTTTTTTTTTTTTTTTTTTTTTTTTTTTTTTTTTTTTTTTTTTTTTTTTTTTTTTTTTTTTTTTTTAGAGATGAGGTCTCACCATGTTGCCCAGACTGGAGTGCAGTGGCTGCTTTCAAACAATCCTCCCACCTCAGCCTCCTGAATAGCAGGGATTACAGGCACAGGTCATAGGGCTCGGCTTCTATTTTGTTTTAATCTCAACATAACATCTCTTATGGCTGATTCTTTTTGAAACTCCTTAGTGTAAAAATTGTAGTTTCTGACTTTTCCAAATGAATAGAGCCTTTCAAGCGTTATCATTCTGTAAGCAACTGTCTTTTAAGGTAAAGTTAAATTTTCCAGTAAGGAATTCATTAGAGAGGTTTCAGAAGGCATGTAATAAAAAGCAACCTGAACCCAGGTAATCAGAAAACATGGATCTCGGATTCATCAGTGTGAGAATTGCTTTCCTTTCCTTCTTCTGCCACTCCCTCTCCTTAACAAGCAGCTACTATGTGAAAAGAATTGTGCTTGGTGCTTTGGGGACATTAATAGAGCATGATCCTGCCCCACTTCAGCCCCTAGTCAAGGAGATTACAAGCCAGAGCAAAAGACAGATGTGCAATCAAACAACCTTAAAATAAGGTGGGCTGAAATAAATGTTCACAATGGTGCAAGCAAAGTCCTATGAAAGTAATCCCCCATCTTTTATGAAATACAGGAAGTGACCTTTAAAAACACAGACACAACTGGGGAGTTCATCGCTCCACTAATTACCTCCCTACTGTTCAGACCATAAACTTTTATGCGATCTGCTCTCTGTTCACCTCATTTGTACTCATTTATTTTAACAGGCATCCAAGCTGCCTATATGCAAAAACTTTACAGGCATTAGTGGTGAGTGGAGATTTTAGCTCCACCCTTGACTTGATTGTAATTCTTTCATTAAACTGAATTTTAATGATATTTAATATCACTTTGAGTCTTTTCATTGACAGTGTTAAAGTTCTGAAAATTAAATGCATAACCTCATGGATTAGGTGAACACTAAGCCTCCTTCTCCCAGAGGAGATAAACTGGGACACCTAAATATATGGAATGGCTTCTGAAGAATACTATTTTGATCTGAGTAACCTCATAGTGACATCTTTGCAGCTCATACTCCCTTTAAATTTCTTTGTAAAACAACTGCTTTTAAAGGATCAGCCTAAGGCTGCAGGCTCACACATTATTTCCCATTTGTGCACAGTTGCTATTTATAACTGGGGCCCTTTAGAAAATGAAAATCTAAGGTTGGCTAACTGTAGCCAGAGTGACCCATAATATAAGCCAGGTCATACTTTTTTTGGCATCCTTCTGTGTCCTCTCAGGAAACTTTGATTATATTTCAACTAGGAATAGGAAAGAGATTGTCCAAATAAAAAAGCACTTCTCTAGCAGGTGGTTAAGACATAGGTTCTTGAGTCAGCATGCCTGGGTCTGAATGCCAACGTACCATTTATTAGCTTTGTGACTTTGAACAAGTTGTTTATCACCTAGGCTTCATCTGTAAGATGATTAAATGAGATAATGCTTATAAAGAACTTACGTTAGTGTTTGGCACAGAGTCCTCAAACAATAGTAATTGTTGTAATAATTATTATTTCTGTTATCATTTATACAAAATTGCCCTGGATTACAGTTTATAGCACACTGCCTCACACATGGTAGGTATTCAATGTCTGTTTATTTCTTAGTGGATGCTTGGCTAGCTTTCAGCTGAGAATGCGGTATTTCCAGGGAGTGCTTCCTTTGGTTTTCTCAAGAGTACTGGGAAGATAACAAAAGAAACTCAAGGGCAAGGAGATTGGGAAGGTAGCAAAACTGCCTTAATTCTGTATTAATCCTGCTGATGATTCAGTGATGTGGCTTCACAGAGCTCAGTGATTTTTTTTTTCCTATCTATGTGAAAAGAGGGTATATGCATCCTACGGCAGCCTTAGGTCATGTGTTTTGACTACCCTCAGGTGGTACAAATTAAAGTTTCTTTTTCCCTCAGTAATACACCAGGCCATCTACTTAGCATTTTTCCATCAGAAGTTCCACTTGATATTTTTCACCTGGGTTCTGGAAGAGACATTAGGGTGGTGTTAATGGAAAAGTATCAGCACATTGCGACAAGGAAAGAATAAACAATATCTCTGTAATACAAATATGACTCTGTGCCCTTTGATAGCAGCACATTCCACAGCAGCAAGGATCTGAGGATGGTGTGTGTTGTGTTCGTGTGCATATGCTGTTAACAAAACTTTTATTTATATTTAAACATCAGTATATGGTGATGTGTGTGTGCATTTAGTCCATACATGTTGTACCATATGTTTTAACCTTTAAAGATAAGCTGTAAAGCAGGATCAGAAGAACAAGAATGATACCTGTTTCTCACGTTTATTGTTTCTCAGTTTTATAGTGGGGAGGCATCTACATACTTCTAAAATTAATCAATTTATAAGCCTAATAAATATTCTACAGATATTAACTGTTCACATTTCATTTATTTTCTGTGGCTTTTGAGAGCTAACATTAAATAGTTTTATCCTTAAAGGAGGACATAAAATGAATTGCCATGGGCTTAAGCTCATTTGTTAAATTTTATTACAACTCTTCTGAGTTTATCGAGTCTATTTATAGAACCATCTTGCCTGTTAGGAATGTTAGGGTGGATAAACTTCTCACCTTAATGCATTAGACTGTATTTTTTTACCCAGTTGAACTCCTACAGATGGAATTAATGTAGTAAACTTCAGCCTAGGTTATGCTTGGGTGGTAGTGAGAACCCAGGACTCTAAATTTAAGAGATCTATAGTCCCCCCTCTGATTATTTAATATTTACAAGACAGTACAGATAATACTGATTTTAAAAATTATTTGTCCTTAGTCAAATACAGTAAGCCACTAACATAGAATACTACTTCAAAAACCATTATGAATGAGGATAAGAAGATGAAAATACCTAACTGAATAACAAACTAAAATTTTGCATTCATTTCACCATCAACAGACAGGCACTACCTGGCTACTACGTACATATCATGGTTTCAGACATTTAGCTGAAAGGCAGGATGAAAAAAATCTGCCATGGACTCTAGTGTATGATAGTAACCATTGCCTTTTTAGAGGGTTAATCTATTAAGCCAAAACAATAAGTATTACTTCATGTTAAATAAAAAAAGAATGGATCTAGAATGAGGTATGAGGTAATGATTCACTGTTCCCATAGAAAGCCTGTGTGATAGAGTTATAGCAAAAGCTGGAGTCCAAGATGGTTGCCCTAGGGAATCCAAACCTGCCTCAGATAATGAAATAGAATATTATGTGAAATACAGACATTAAACTATTTGTGAATATCCCCAAACTAATGACACCTCCTACCTACAGTAAGTATCCTTGGAAGAATTGTTTGATAGACAATGGACTTCACTACAGTGGACAAACAGCTAGTATCAATAGAAACATTATTTGATAGAAAATGGACTCTTGAGTTTGAGTAGTTTCAGTAGAATCTGTTTGCCTCAGTTCTAAGGAGAATTTCTTTGAGATTAGATACCTAGGTTTACTACCTTCAGAACTGAAAGACAGGGCTCTCTGCTAAGCAGAGTCCTGCTCACCACCATGTTCTTCAAGCCAGAAGTTAGCTTATCTGCCTCTTCTTTCTCAACGAGGCTGGATTTAGGAAATGGGTGCTAACAAGTTAGCATCTCCATTCCTTTCACTACTATTTATTGTATCAGGTTCTCTCAGTGACTTCCCACAGAACAGGCAGCCTACCCTCTGCTCTGTGTAATTGTGCAGTAAGATATTATTGCTGCCACAGTAATAATGACCAAAATAGTAGTGGCATAAACCAAACAGAAGTGTATTTCTGTCTTAGGCAATTATAGTCAGAGCACAAGCAGCCAAGTGTTCTATGGAATCAGAGACCTCAACTTTTCAATGTTGTTTCTCTGCCCTTCTCTCTTGGTCTCAGGTGGCTGGTCTAGCTTCTGTTACCACATCTGTATTCCAGCTAACATAAGGGGCAGGGCTTTTTTATAAAGGACATGACCTGTAAGTTACATACATCATGTCCACTCACATCCCATTGGCCATAATCTAGCCATATAGCCACATCTAGCTGCAAGGGAGGCTGATAAATGTGCTTTTTATCTGGGTGGACATATGCCCAACTGAAGCTTCCATTATTTTAGAAGAAAAAAACGGACTATTTGACTGGAAGCTTTTCTTCACCTCATCACAAAAAGCTACAGAAGAAAATTACTTGGCTTAACACATTTTGCCTCAGTGACCAGAAGCTAAACATATAGCAAAAGAGTTCCAGCCAAATCAGGGGTACTCACAGAAAAACTAAGATCATGTTCTTATACAACTATAGTAGTTGTTATGACTTGCTTTGCTAAGAATCAATATCTTCCAATTATTCCACACACGACTTTCAGTATTTTTTGGAAGCAGCAGTAGTCTATACACTAGTTATTGAGTTGACTTCTCCATCTTCTTGGGTCACTGACAGCCCTAAATAATGAATATGATGTCTCAAGGCACCTGTGGAATTAGTGCTGTCCATCCATATCTAGCCATAATATAATAATATAATGTTCAGTAATTTTGAACAGCCTGTGACTTACATGACTACTCTTAAAATGGTCCCCATTAGCTAAGCTAAACATTCTTTTGCTAGGAAAAATTGTGTGGTGGTAAAAGAAGCTAAAGATTAATCTACGAAAAGGACGCCTCTAATTTTTTCTTCCCATGGAGGCTTCCCAACTTTGAAATAAAGCAGATCTGTGTTTTGTTGATTCAAAGTTCACCAGTTCCTTTCTTTTTAATCTGTTGTTTATCCAGTTACTTCCACCTGGCTCCTTCAGTTTCCCTTTCCCTCACTCAGAAATACAGAACGCCTAGGGAGTCTTGTTTACTTTCTTAGACATCCTTTCATTTAATAACACTGCTATCCTTCAAAGCAGTTTATCTCTCCATTTCCTTCTGGTCAAATAAAATAATTTTATTTATTACTTTTTTTTTTTTGATTGAGGACAAGTCAATCAGATTAAGGTGTCTCCTAAATTCTGTTGAGAAAGGCAAGTTGGCAGTCATGGTCATGGGCAGCCCCTTATTCAAAGCAGTTGTTTGCTTGTGTATCTGGAGAAACCTGCACAGTTTGCTGAGGTCATGGCATTTTACTTGGTTGTTTTAACTTGGCATGATATGCACAATACCTTGCCAGTAGCACCAATGAGAATTTTGCGGAGAGCCTGGTAATTTTTTATGTTAACCTCTAATGTTACCTATTTCCCTCAGTCCCTGCTTTAGTTTTCATCATCATTGTCCAATTCCCTTTCAGTAGTCTACTTTGAATCTCTCATTAATTTATTAAAATCCTGCAATTCTTTTTGCATTTATTGTTGGCCTGTGCAACCATTAGGGAGTAACATGTTTACTGTAAAATATGTTAAAGTTTACTCTGTTTTAGTTCATCCTCCAAAGTATCTCCTATAAATTACAAAGAAAAGTCTTCTAGCTGTAACATTGTGGGATTTGATGGAATAAGTTCAGCTGGAGATTTCACAACACAATATTTAGCAGCTGCAAAGGAAAGGAAGACAAAGCTGCCAGGTTATCCCCAGGAAATCCCAAGACACATATTTTTAACATTTGCATTCTTATTTACATAAATTTGTATGTTTCATTCAAAAGGCGCTGACTCCAATTATGTAAAATAAAACACTCGATTTCTCTTTATCTGACGGGTAGATAACCACATATTCTAGGCTTGCTTGCCTGTTGCCCAGAGTGATTTCTCTGGCTTCTTCCTCTCTGCTCCAAGAGTTTCTCCCCATTATGCCTACCCTCTCATCACAACCATTAAGGAAAAGAGTTATCATTTAGTTTTAAGATTTGAGCTGGCTCCAAAATGTTGTTTTCTATCATGTGCTCACATTGAAATCCTCTGTTTTCCAATTGTGGGTTTTCACAAGACACTCCCTTCCCCCACAGCAACAACAAAATGCCGATCCCTGATTCAGCTTGGAGAATCATTGTTTGGGTGGTGAAAATCCCATCTTGAGCCAGCTTTCAGCCTTACCCTCGAAATTTCTTGGTAGTGAGGAAGATAGTTTGGATTCTGGGCAGATTAACCATAGGTTTCAACTATCCACCCAAATGCTGCCTTCCATGGGCCCCTATAATTATAGATTGACTCTGTTTACATTTTTTAGCGTCATTTCTCCCCTCCAGGTAGATGAATATCAAAGCTGACTGCAAAATAAATTCATTAGAGTAATTTATAGCAAGTATATTAAGCCCAAAAGCCAGAGCTACGATAAAAGAGAGCAAGAGCGTCCTTTGGGAGCGATCTCACTCGACCCAGAACAGTCCTGGTGACACCGTACAGAAAGCCCATCTGCTAACCGCCCCAGTGGGGAAGGAGGGCCCGAGAATCACACAGAGAGACAATATCGCAGAACCATGGATGGTCATACTGTGCTAAATTCACTTCCACTCTCTGAAAAGCATTTCAAAAAGCCACTCCCTAACATCTGTATACTGCTGCTTCTGTTCCTCATCATGCCTAGAAAACCAGGGAGTAAACTCCGGACCACATACTGAATTGAAATGAAATTTAGTCAAGCGACCCCTGAGGGGTTCATTGACTTTTGACCTTCGCCTTTGAAAAGGCTTCTCTCTGTCTCCACAGACAAACTGGTGATCTATTTAGAGGCTATATAAACAATGTCAAAACATGGGGGCTAGAGGGGACAGCCATGGGGGCAAGGCTGTGAATACTGGAACAGTTAGCAACACATTCTGTGACATCCAGGGTGTGTTTTGTTGTCGGTTGGTTGCTTTAATCTTTGGGCGAAAGGATATTCCTCTTACTTGGAACTGAAGTCAGCAGAGGGGAAGTGCAGACCTCACCAAACACAAAGTACAGAAACACAGTCCCAAGAAACTAGGGTTGCTCCCCTGCTACGCCTGCAAAATGTCAGCCTCGCTGACAGCACAGACAGGCGGCTTCTGCTTCACCCGGGATTTCACACTCCGCATACAGCTGCCTTGGCAGGACTTGTGGCCAAGGCAAAATTACCAGGAATTAGCTAGGAAAACAGATTCATTTCCTTTAAAAACTGCAAAAACCCCCCCTCTGGTTCTACCCACATATATCTATAAGAACACTATTTAAAGAATTTGTATTTGTTTGTTTTTGGCTTTTCCTGGCAGTGACTATGTTTCATACTAGATTTTGAATTGCGTGTGGTCCAGAGATGTACTGCAGTAGCAAAGGACAGGAAGGTGGTGAGAATCCCAGGGACACTGTGATCCTTCTGTTAAGGTATACCTGGAAGGTATGCTTGATCTACTCACCAGAGTTTGGTTTCTCTTTCTGAAATACAACACCTCCTTCTTCTATTTCTTGAGATAAGCAAATTGGGGATGTAGTTTCTCTAAGCTTACTAGTTAGCTTTTCATTTATTCATGTATTCAATTCATTTGTATAACTCCTTGAGTGCCTGAATACATAGTGGACAAAATAGGTAAAAATTAAAAAAAAAAATTCCTTGCTCTTGTAGATTTATATTAAATTATTTAGGCAGGACACGGTGGCTCACGCCTGTAATCCTAGCACTTTGGAAGGCTAAAGTGGGTGGATGGCCTGAGCTCAGGAGTTCGAGACCAGCCTGGGCAACATGGCGAAACCCAGTCTTTACTAAAAATACAAAAAATTAGCCAGGTGTGATGGCACATGCCTGTAGTCCCAGCTACTCGGGAAGCTGAGGCATAAGAATTGCTTAAACCCAGGAGGCAGAGGTTGCAGTGAACTGAGATCACACCACTGCACTCTAGCCTAGGCAACAGAGCAAGACTCTGTCTCCAAAAATATATATAAATAAATAAATAAATTATTTTATCTTTGTGACAGCCCCATGAGGCAGGTACCATTATAATGAGTTTTTGTTTGATTGGATCTCTTTTTTTTTTTTTTTTTTTTAACAGGGGACTTGTCACACAGCCCGTGAATGGCAGACTTGTGACTTGAAGCCAGGTGGGCTGGCTTCAGAGAGCCCCACACTCTTCCTTTAGGGTGCTATACTCCCCAGTGGGACTGATGGCTGTGACTGCAGGTCCAGAACAGGAGCAGTTCAAGCATATACCTGTAGTTTCTAGAGGCAAAGTCTTTAAGTCTGCAAGATAGTTTAAATGACAAATATTGTACAGTTAGTATTGTGGCTGATTTCCACATGAAGATGTCAGTGACTAAAAGCACCCTCTTTCTTATAAGTTTCCACAGGCAGGGGAAGGTGAATCAGAGTGGAGAGATCAGAAGAGTGAAGGAAGATGGGGAGGATGCCATTGGGATGGGTGTGGAGGCAGACACTGAGGACAGGGACTCTCGGATCAAAGTTTTCTCAGACTCAACATTTTGCCCGAGAAAGTCCTACTAAGGCCAACCAAATAGTACAAACTTTGAATTATACCAGTTACTTTTATAAGATCAATTTTATTATTTCACCGAAATAGCTCAAGGCAAAAAGAAATAACAGCCAACTGGCTCGAATCATAGTGTCTGATAAAAGTAGGTTCATTCTTACTTTGCCTATTGGCTTCTCAATCAGAGGGCTTGGAAAGCAAACTGGAGTTATGCTGCTGTACATGGAAGGTTTCCATTGCTGTTCCTGCAAGAAAGGAAACACAGAAAGGGAAATTTCAGGGATGTGCCTGGCTTTCCAGCTGCATGGATCCATTTTCCTGATACAACAGTGCTGCAAGCATTTAAACTTGATAGTTGTCACTTGAAATACTTGAGTCAGCATTTTTGCATGGTTTCTTTAGTTTGCAGCCTGTGCAAACCCATTTAAACTTGTACAGGGATACCATTTATGACATTTTGAGGGAATTAATTACACACATGTTGACATAAATTCAGAATATGTTCACCTCTTAAGATATCTTCTTAGAACATGAATCAGACTATGTGAATCTTTTAAAAAATAACTTTACTAATATATCATTGCATAAGAACAATGACCCGGCCAGGCGCGGTGGCCCATGCATATAATCCTAGCACTTTGGGAGGCCGAGGTGGGCAGATCACTTGAGATCAGGAGTTCAAGACCAGCCTGGCCAACATGGAGAAACCCTGTCTCTACTAAAAATACAAAAATTAGCCAGGTATGTAATTCCAGCTACTCGGGAGGCTGAGGCAAGAAAATTGCTTGAACCAGGAGGCAGAGGTTGCTGTGTGCCAAGACTGTGACACTGCACTCCAGCCTGGGCGACAGAGTGAGACTCCGTCTCAAAACAAACAAACAAACAAACGAAGTGACCCTATGTAACCCTCTGGTTTCCAAATCTTTGACTCCATATGGAATAATTTCCAAAGTACTCTACCTGCTATTTAGAGCCCTCCCAAAGAGTCTTTGCTTTTTCAGTTTCGACTGCAACTCTGCCCTATAGTTTACCCTAAATCTCAAGTCACATTGGCCCATGTTATTTTTGCGAATGTCTCCAATTTATGCTGTTCTTTATGCTGCTCACGATTCCTAAAATAGCCTTTCTGTAATATCTGCCTGTGAATTCCTACTTGTTCTATAAAGCCCAGCTCAAATTCCCTATGAAACATTTCACTATTGTTCTCTACTTCTTACTAGAGTCAGAATAAATTTCTCCCTACCAAGTCCCAAAATACTATTATTGGAGTGTGCTATGGTTTGAATGTGCCCCCCATAAGCTCCTATGTCAGAAACATAATTGCCATTGTAAAAATATTAAGAGATGAAGCCTTTAAGAGGTAACTAGGCTATCTGGGTTCTCCCCTCCTAAATAGATTAATGCTGTATTCATGGGGATGTGTTAAGTTATCTTTGGAGTAGGCATCTGATAAAAGTTCAACTCCCATTTTCTCTCTGTCTCATGTGCTCGCTTCCTCACACCTTCCACCATGGGAGGGCCCTCACCAGATACTGGTGCTATAGTCTTGGATTTCCCAGCCTCCAGAACCATAAGCCAAATAAATAGCTTCTCTGTATAAATTACCCAGTCTGTGGTATTCTGTTATAGCAGCAGAAAATTGACTAAACAGAGTACTTGTGACTATCTGCTGTGAATGTGAGCTACAGAGGACAGAACACATGCTTTAGTTACCTTGTATCCTTCACAATCTAAAACAGGTCTTATACAATGTATGTGCTCTTTTTTTTTCAATTAATTATTTCTTGTGTCAGCGGAATCTTTTTCTTTATGTCCTTACTAATTTCTAAAACACCCCAATAAATCCAGCTCTCTCCAACCTCCAGCCCCAGTTCTCACTACACACATTTTTCACCCACTTTTTTCAGTCTTGGTAGAGAAGACATCAAGAGACTTGTTATTGGGGGAAAAAAAAACTTAATAGTAGGCACCAATAAACCCCATAAAATAAAAATGAACTTCAAAAATTAATCAACAAATATTGACCCATCCCCACCCACACTGTCCATTAATTGGCTGTGTTTCTTGAGTAAAAGGAAGATATTTTTTTCCTGTGGACTTAGCAAGGAATGGAGTATGAACCTCTGGAATCTCTACTCCTGCTGTTACTAATTATCTTACCCCCTTCCCCTAAGGCAAATTACTTGTACTCTCAAAGGGTGGCCCTGTCTGCAAATGTGGTTTGTGTTATTTACACACATCTCACAGGGTATTTGGAGACTAATTGCAATGATATCTGTGGTCTAGAAAGGCAAAGTATAATTCCTGGGGAACAGACCCTATAGTTTACCCTCAGGAGAAGCCATTCAAATTGCTAACTTCTTCCCGGGGCCTGAAAACAAGCGTTATAGTTGGGTTCTGAGAGACACGGATTTCTGTCCATTAGGAGTTAAAGTGAGACCAGCAACTCATTTCACAGGTCATGTTCCAGCCATCAAAGAGTAATTACCATCAAACCCCACTGGCACAGGTCCCAACTATATTAGTGAATGCATGAATGAAAGTTTCAAAGGATACCATTACCAACTCCCACCTTCCAAAGGTAAAAAGATACTGAATGGTACCAGAGAAAAAGCCAAAATATATCAACTTAAGGTTGTAACTTTTTAAAAATGAAAATAACTGTTCAGTATCGATGATTGTGAAACATGATTCTGTTTCAAGGAAGTCAATCTGCAGAGGCAGTAGATGAATCTGAAGAACTCTGCCCTTCACTCTGAGGCTCCTCCAGTTGCTATGGCAACATGTAACTAGCTTTCTTAAGGTGTTATGCAGCCTGATTTTCTTTAGACCAAACATTCCCCTGATACATTTACACTGGGTATACCTAAGACCAAAACAACCCAGCAGTTGCAAAGCATAGATTTCTTACTTATAAATTATTTATTTGGTGGAAAAACGTAAGTCTGGGCCACACATAAAAGGGAACTTCTGAAACAGTGGGTTCATATGCAAAACACAGAACAATGAGGGACATATAGTTATTATTAAATAGCATTTCCCTTTTCCTATCCCCCATCCTCATTTCAGGCTTTTCCCACCTACAGGGTTTTGTATGTACTATGTATATATGTATTATATGTATTAGAGATATGGTGCATATGTATGTACACACACACAGTCTGGGTGACTGATGCTTAACAGTGTTTCACACTAACTCACCATTTGCTGAATGTGGGGGTGTGGACGCTGAGGATGGACTTGGAATAAGGAGACTAGCAGGGAATTACAGAAAAGTTGTTGAAGCCTCAGGCAAACCAGCCATCCTCTCCAGATCTCTGGAAAATGAGGGTAATTGTCCCCTTATCTTCTTCCCATAACAACTTCAGAGCTACAGAACTCCAAAAAGCTACAGAACTTCTCAGAAATCTCTATGTGAAAGGTATCTGGTGTTATCTTTCCAGATTGGACCCCTAAAAGGAGACCAAAGAAGTTGTTAAGGCCTTGAACTGTAATTACTACCTTCAGTGTTTATCCTGATGCCTGAAATATAAGAGCAACTTCTGGTGCAAAAGGAAAGCGATAATCAAGGTTTTTAAGAAATAAAGATGTGAGGATCATCTGGCAAGCTCAGCTAGTTGATTGAGCAGTGGGATCAGACCAAGTGGCATCTGCTTAAGGCTGAGTCACCAGGCAGCCCAAATTATCCTAATAGTTCTGAAAGAATGCCTCCTCTCACAGAAGTCTTGATTTTATACTCCATATAAAACAAGGATGTTCACATCCATCCAATGCCTGCTCCTCCTCCCCTCACCTCAAGGGTAGTAACGGTGTGTTCTGTTTTGAGATGGAAGCAGATTCTACCTTAAAGATTGCCATTCCCATCTCCAACCTCATCCTGTCACTCATTATTTAAGGAGCAAAAATAACTGTACCTTGCATCGGTAGAGAGCTTTCAACAAACTGATGACAAAGCACTTTGGTTGCTCCTCACACTGCTCAAAGGCTACGGGCTCTTTCTGGGGCCTAGGATATGGAGAGAGCTGTGACCTTTCAAATACTCAGAGGAAACAGAGGAAAAAGAAAATTCCTAAAAGGGGATGTGATGTAGATCATCACCACTGTCCTGGTCCATGCTCTCTCTGGCCCCTCAACCTGGTTGTTGAGACCAACCAATAGGGATTTGGGCTGGTCCCTCCCCTCACAGCTGGAGTTCCTCCCTTGGAAGGGTCAAGCACACAGACATAAAGCTGAGGTGGCCTTGGGAAGGGAGGAGAACTGGGTGGAGGGCGATTAAATGTTGACTCACTCAGGCTTGACCAGACTTCCTCCCTTTTCTACAGTCGAGTACAGTTTTTGGTGAACTTAGGTAAACTGTACATACTGCTACACTTTCTTCCTTCCTTTTGGGCTATTATCACGGGCTTGCCAGCAGAAAGAAGGTCACAGGGGAGAACAAACTCACAAGCATTCTGGGTTTCCAGTTTTTTTTGGCAGGATCTTGTTAGAGCCTGACCTGCTAATGTATTCTTCAGCACCTCCCTCAGTACCCATTTCCCTTGAATGCTCTGCTAAATTTTTGCCTTTAAATTTCTATTTCCTGGTTGTTTTACATGCTGATTTTTAAAATGTCCCTTGTGCGGTTACCTTCCTTCCCCATGTTTCATGCATCTTCAGCACCACCTGTACTTACCACCAGGCTACAATTACAAAGAACATTAAAACAAGAAACACTCCACATTAATGGGACTTCTGAAAGAAGACACCACATTCCCTTCACCATACTCACATATCTTGGAGTTTTCTGCCAGGCTTTATCCAAACACATGTGTATTAAGCTAGAACACCACTTTGTATTAACCTCTTGTATCCACATAGCATCACATATTACATATTTTGTCTCGTTGCATAGTCTCTAGAGTTGTAATATTTAGTGACTATACAATGTTCCATCAGCATAGACTATAATGTATTTTGTATCTTGATATATATTTTTATCATTTCCATTTTCTCCCTGTAATTACATATGCTCTTTTTTTTTTTGCCTTTTGAATCATTTCTTAGAATATATTTCTAGAAGTAGGATTTCCAGGCCAAAAATATAGACATTTTTATGGCTCTTTTTATTTACTATCCAATTATTGCTTTTCAAGAGGATTGAACTGGTTTATACAGCTATCTCTAATATACACGCATATGTACTATATATTTATACATATATACATATGTACATGTGTACTATATATGTATATATATTAGAGGTATAGTACATATATATGTACCATATATATGTATTTAGAGATATAGTACATATGTATGTACACACACACATCCAACTCTTTTTTGCTTAACAGCAAATCCCTGAGGAACTGCCATCATCAGCCTCATATTTATAAGTTAGAACTAAACACCACAGAGGTGAAGTAACTCAGTGTCAGATGACCAATGTCCCTTTTATGAGCTTCACTGGCTTCAAGTGCCTGTACCCAATATGTTCCTGGTTTCAATGAGTAATCGCTGACTATGTCTCTATCCTGTAATTTCTTCAGCTTGTGTCACAGTGAGACAGTGAGCATGGGGTCGGAAATATGTCAGCTCCATAGCTTACTACCTTTGAGACCGTGAATAAGTTAATGAGCCTTGCTAAGCCTCAGTTTCCTCAAATGTAAAATGGAATAGTACCTATATCATAGGCTTGCTTGGAGGACTTTAAAATTCAGTCCAGCAAATAAACTTACATAATAAGTGCTACTATTATTTTTCATGTTAATAAAAAATATTTTCTTGTTAGTCTTCCCTGGTGCCTTCTTCAGAGTAGAATAGCAGGTATCACTGAATCTCTATTATAATTTAATAAATAGATTTCCTCACCTATTGTCAATCAGCAAATATTTTCTAAGTACTGTAACTTAGCTCCTTGCTAATTTTATAAGAATTTTATATAAAAATATTTATTTATAAGTAATATAAAAATTTATAGAAATGTAAATAAGCTAGAAATATTCCCCTTAGGAATAGGAACAAGACAAGGATGCCCACTCTCACCACTCTTTTTCAACATAGTACTGGAAGTCCTAACCAGAGAAATCAGATAATATAAAGAAATAAAAGTCATACAAATAGGAAAAGAACAAGTCAAATTATCTCTCTTTGCTGACAATATGGTTCTATGCCTAGAAAAACCTAAAGACTCTACCAAAAGGCTTCTACAACTGATAAGTGACTTCAGTAAAGTTTTAGGCTACAAAATGAATGTACAAAAATCAGTACTATTTCTATACAGCAATAATGTTCAAGCTGAGAGCCAGATCAAGAACACAATCCCATTTACAATAGCCACAAAATTTAGTAAAATACCTAGGAATACATCTAACCAAGATGGTGAAAGATCTCTACAAGGAGAACTACGAAACACTGCTGAAATAAATCATGTGCCATCATGTGCCATCATGGATGGCACAAATGGAAAAACATTTCACGCTTATGGATTTCAAGAATCAATATTATTAAAATGGCCATACCGCCCAAAGCAATCTACAGATTTAATGCTATTCCTATCAAACTAACAATGTCTAACAATTTTTTGCAGGAATAGAAAAAAAATTATCCTAAAATTCATATGGAACCAAACAAGAGCCTGCATAGCCAAGGAAATTCTAAGCAAAAAGAACAAAGCTGGAGGCATCACCTTACCCAACTTCAAACTATGATGTATGGCTACAGTAACCAAAAGAGCATGGTATTAGTACAAAAACAGAAATATAAACAGACCAGTGGAACAGAACAGAGAACTCAGAAATAAAGCTGCACACCTATGAACATCTGATCTTCGATAAAACTGACAAAAATAAGTAATAGGGAAAGGATTCCCTATTCAATAAATGGTGCTGGGATAACTGGCTAGCCATATGCAGAAGAATGAAACTGGACCCTATCTTTCACCATATACAAAACTCAATATGGGTTAAATATTTAAATGTAAGACCTCAAACTATAAGAATCCTAGAAGAAAACCTAGTAAACACCATTCTGGACATTGACCTTGGCAAAGACTTCATGACTAAGTCCTTAAAAGCAATTGCAACAAAAGCAAAAATTGACAAGTGGGGCCTAATTAAACTAAAGAGCTTCTGCACAACAAATGAAACTATCAACAGAGTAAACAGACAACCTAGAGAATGAGAGAAAAGACTCACAAACTATCTGACAGAGTTCTAATATCCAGAATCTTTAAAAAACTTGATTCAATAATCAAAAACTGAATAACCCCATTAAAAAGTAGATAAAAGACAGGAACAGACACTTCTCAAAAGAAGACATACAAGTGACCGACAAACATGTGACAAAATGTTCAGCATCACTAATCATCAGAGAAATGTAAATCAAAACCACGAAGAGATACCAACTCACAACAGTCAGATGGCTATTATTAAAAAGTCAATAAACAACAAGTGCTGACAGGGCTGTGGGGAAAAGGGAACACTTATATACTGTTGTTGGGAATGTAAATTAGTTCAGCCACTGTGGAAAGCAGATTGGAGATTTCTCAAAGAACTTAAAACAGAACTACCATTCAACCCAGTAATCCCTTACTGAGTCTATATCCAAAGGAAAATAAATGATTCTACTAAAAAGACACATGAACACATACATTCATTGCAGCATTATTCACAATAGCAAAGACTTGCGATGAACTTGGGTGCCTGCCAACAGCTGCCTGGATAAAGGAAATGCGGTACATATACACCATGGAATACTACACAGCCATAAAAAGAATGAAATCATGTCCTTTGCAGCAACATGAATGCAGCTGGAGGCCATTATCCTAAACGAATTAACACAGGAACAGAAAACCAAATACCACATGTTCTCACTTACAAGTCGGAGCTAAACATTAGGTACTCATGGAAATAAAGATGGAAACAACCAACACTGGGGACTACCAGAGTGGGGAGAGTGCAAGGAGGGCAGAGGCTGGAAAACTACGTATGGGGTACTATGCTTACTACCTGGGTGATAAGGTCATTCTTACCCCAAACTTCAGCATCATGCAATACACCCATGTATCAAACCTGCACATGTACCCCTAAAACTAAAAGTTGAAATTATTTTTTAAATGCTTAAATAAAAAGCACAACAATTATAAAAATTATAAAAGGTACAAAATAGATTATTTAGAAGTTTGTTAGTTTAAATGAGTATGTTTACTTTTAAATTGTAAACATATCCAATACTTTTCTATTATAAACCATAATTATAAATATAAATTTTTTTAAAATAAAACATACAATGAAAGTTTCAACAATGAACAAATATTTTAAATATTTTTAAAAAGTAATCGAGTTAATAAAATAAGCATAGGCTTATAAAAGTAAGTGCTTATGAAATACATTTATGTCTGCTTCTAAGTTCCTTATAAATAAGATAATGATATAGTGAAAAGCACATTGTTGGCTTTGCAGTCTGAAGACCTGAATTTGAAAACTGGCTTTGACACTTACTTGACATGTAACTTCTTTGTGGCTCATTTCTTCAGCAATAAAAAGTATAGTATATAATTTATATTTTATTTTATTTGTTATAAAAAGGAAGATCCAATCTTCTTTATTTGTCTGAAAACAATCAACAATCTTTTATGCATCTCTTTGGAATGTCAAACCATGACATGTGATATTACAGCGCACAATAGTCTATTCACTTGTATGATATAAACTCTAGATTCTATAGGCGTTTGGAAAAATAAGAAGGGAAATGAAAATAGGAAGTCATCTATTCAGACATGTGAAAGCATCACATAGAAGAAGAAATAATTTTCCTTAGTTCCCATATATCACTGGAGGTCAACTTCATAAACAAAATCCCAGAACTAGGGAGTCCAAATGCAAACAGCTCATAAGAGTGCTTTCAATAACAGGGAAAGAGGGAGGCAGGGACGCTGTAACCTGCATCTCTGCAGGTGGGAGCTGCTTGAGACTGGCAGCAGGTTTGGGGAAAGGTATTAACGGGTAAGAGGCATTTTATGGGTTAAATTACTTTCCCTCCAAGTTCATATGTCTTAACTCTTAGTACCTCAGAATATGACAAATATTAATATGACTGTATTTGGATGTAGGGTCTTTGAAGAGGTAATTAGTTAAAATGAGGTCATTAGGGTGGGCCCTAATCCAATCTGACTGGTGTCCTCATAAGAAGGGGAGATTAGCGTACAGATATGTACAGAGGAAAGACCATGTGAAGACTTGGCGAAAAGAACACCCATCTGCAAGGCTTCAGAAGGAACCAATACAGCCCATGCCTTGATGTCAGACTTTTAGCCTTCAGAAATATGAGGGGAAATAATTCTATTGCTTGAGATCCCCAGACTGTGGTACTATATTATGGTAGCCCTAGCCAACGAATACAAGGCATCCTAGGGGAAAAAAAAAAAAAAAAAAAAAAAAGGGCTTCAATATGGGTGAAAACAACTCGGGGCAGAAGGTAGTCAGTGTAGGAAAGGTTTTCCAATGAACTGGGGAGAGGGTGTTGCAGTGACCAGTGACAAATCAGATGCAGACATCTGAAGGGGTGGGGTTCTGCATGGCAGTGCTGAGCAGGCACTGGAGATATCTTATGCCTTACCCTCAAGGAGCTCCCCAAAGTGTAGTTGGGGAAAGAGGTGAACAAATTCTATTTAAAAGAAGTGGTACATATTAAGGCTAGAGGTATGCAGAAGATGCAGGGGGAGCAAAAGGAGGAGCATCTAACACAAAGGAACCCCCTGTTGCTGGGAGGCTTCCAGGAGGAGATGACCCTGGAGCTGAGTATAAGGGGACAGAATAAAAGTTAGGTGACAATAAAGTGGTGTGGGGTGGGAGAGGATGGCAGGTCTGAGGATATGAAAAGAGATGTATGCTGTTTAAGGAGGAGGAAATCTCACGAGTGCAAGAAAAGAGGTATGGAATAAAAAGAACTGCTTTTTATAAAAGCAGTTAAAAATAGTTTTTTTGTGAACCACAAATAATCTGGTGCTGTTAGATCTTCCCAAGTGAGACTGGGTTGGTGAGAGATGTTGCAAGGCAAGAACCACAAGATTCTTTTAACAATGTTTCAGTGGATTTCCTTCGTGGAGAGGAGGATGTGTTTGAGGGGACAAAAGACTGCAAACCAGGCAACTATTTAGGCTGCTGGTACCACAACAAGGAAAGGTAGGCTAATGTCTGGATATCGGCACTAGCAAAGTAGCAGAAAGACTAGAGAGGAGGGGACAGACTGAAGAAATCATGGGAACTTATCCATTGGTTGGAAATGGAAGTGGAGCTAGATTACTGGCACGTTTCTAGGAAGCAGAGGAGCGAGGAAGTGCACCAAAGAGTATAGAATCTTGCTAGGATTACAGGAAAAGGGAAGGACATGGTAAGAGTGCGGATGACAGGCAAGGAGAGACAGTTAATTTAGGTTAGGGTATCGCTCAGAACCAAAAGGCACAAACAGCATTCACCACCTTTGAGCTCTGCTTTTAAATGCCTTATTCTTTGTGTACATTTTGCACTACATTTTGGCCTTAATCTGTCTTCCTATCTCAACTTTAACTTTTTGTTACAGCTAAAATTTTCTACTGTCTCCCATGCATACACTATACTTATTTATCCCTCTGTTCCTTCTCATGCCTTCATCTCCCCTTCTCATTGGTCTTGGCTCTACCATCTACTACTCGCAGAGACTTGGGCATGTTGCTACACCTTTCCAAACCTTAAACTTTCTCATACACCAAGTGGAGATACTACTAATGACCATTGGGCGAGGTTGTTGTGTAGATTAAATGAAATAAACACAGGGTTCCACTGGAACACAGGAACGAAGTTCTAATCCAGAGTTGAAGGTAGAGGGGGTAAGGGTTAGGGAAATCAATAAATCTTTATAGAAGTGGTAACTCCCACTTCTTTCTACTTTCCCTCATAAACAACTCTTCCTTGGAAATGTGGAAGATTTTCCATTCTTGCTCCCCTCAGATCTGTTCTCGATATGATGGCTGAGAGAGCTCTTTAAAAAATTTTGAAGTGTGATCCTTCCACTCTGTTCTCCTCCCCTTTAAACCAAACACTTCAGAAGTTTCCCACTGCTCTTAGATACAGACTAAAATTTCACTTTGGTTTAGAAGGTCCTTCTTGGCCAGGCCTCTTCCTACCTCTCCAATTTATATTGCACCATTTTCCTCCTTCTTTTAGCACCTTGAATATCAAGTTCTCTCTTGTCCCAGAACCTCTCCTTATGCTCTTCTCTCTTCCAATAAAAAAACAAACAAACAAACAACAACAACAACAACAAAAACACAGATCCACCTCCTGGCATCCAACTCTTCACTTTCCTTTCTAAATTAATCCAATCTTCCCTTTAGTATCCAGCTCAACTGTAATTTCCACTGGGTTATATTGACTTGCTTCTATGCTCTAATTCCAGAAAACATTTCTCCTTTGTGACCCTTATCGTAATTTTAATTAATTTGGGCATTTTTTTTTTGGTACACGTATTCGCGTGACTTTTCAAGAGAAAGCATATATGATCTGTCTCCACCACGGATGACTCTCAGCTTCCCCCGGGTCAGGGGCTTTTCTGTTCTTGTCCATCACTATATCCCAAAACTGTTGCACAGCACCTGGCCTATCACAGGTACTCAACAAATACTTCTTGAATAAAAAGTGAATAGTTAAAGAAAGAAAAGGATGGATTCCTAAGATAATTCTTAAAAGACAAGTAAGAGAGGGGCAGGCAAAGAAAAGAGAGTAAAATTTTTTAGGCAGTGGGTAAATACACAAATAGAAAGGAAAGAGAGAGCAAACATTTGAGTAATTGCACATTGTCTGAAAGATCATAGGATACGTAGGAAGTTGGAGAGTTGGACAGGGCTAAACCATGAAGGACCTTAATTATCATGAAGATAATTAAGAGCAAGGGAGAGCAAGAAAAATATTTTAGGCAAGGAACGTCTGGATGACTATGTGCCCTATAAGGATCACATTGGTGTCATGGTAAAGAATGTATTAGAAGAGTCTGAGGCTGCGTGTGGTGGCTCACACCTGTAATCCCAGCACTTTGGGAGGCCGAGGTGGGCAGATCACTGGAGGTCAGGAGTTTGAGACCATCCTGACCAATATGGTGAAACCCCGTTTCTACTAAAAATACAAAAATTAGCCAGGTGTGGTGGCACATGTCTGTAATCCCAGCTACTTGGGAGGCTGAGGCAGGAGAATTGCTTGAATCTGGGAGGCGGAGCTGGCAGTGAGCCGAGATCACACCACTGCATTCCAGCCTGGGCAAAAAGAGCAAAACTAAAAAAAAAAAAAAAAAAAAAAAACCCAAAAGAAAACAAAAAAACAGTCTGAGGCTGGGAGGCTGGAAGCCCAGAGATCAGGCAGGATCCTGGGAGCTAAAACAAGATGATGGGATCTGAGTTTACAAAGAGGTCAGATTCAGGAGAATCAGTCAGTTTCCCACAACTAACTGTAGAACAAAATTCAAGTTTTCTTTTATATGACTTGGCTCTATGCCTGTGCTTAGTGAATGCCCTCACTTCATCTTCCTCATGTATTCAGATCCATGTTAGTCTTGTGTCTTTGTGGTCCAAAAAATAAAAAATAAAAGAACAGCATGAAGGTGCCTTTAGAGTTTGGGTGGAGAATGGGCAAGGAAAGGTACCTATCAAAGGCAAAAAAACCTGTATATTGATGGGCAAGGCAGGGTTTCATCTTTTAGAATAAGGTATGCTGCTTTTGTTCCATGTCAAAAGAACAAAATGTGCACAGGTGGTGTGAATAAATAATGCAGATATAAATAAATTATACTAGGATGCCCTTCTGGATGACATTTTGGCAACAAGTTACCATTGCAATAGTTCATTCACCAGCTCTGTGAATGCTTGATCAGCACAATAGCACTGAACTTGGTCCTCAGCTGGGCCCCCACTTGGTATAATGCTATGTTGTTGCCATTTAAAAATTCTTAATAACTGTATTCTTAAACTTGGCTTTATAAGTGAAGGTGGATGGAACAATGGAGGATGCACATGAGCAGAGGGGTGAGTACCACGTGCATGTCTGTTGCTACTTGCCACCCCATTTGAATATAGTGTGCGCAGTGTCCTGTAAGCATACAATTCCAGTGAAATCACAATGTGTGGGAGTTCAGGAAGACTCAAAGCAAGTACAAGGTGGTATCTTCAACTGAGTAAACAAGGATGCTGACAACTCCAAGAGATCATGCTTTCCACTTGAACCAGAACTTGCTTCGTAGGCAATAGGAAAGCAGTGGTGTTATAAGAAATACAAACAACCAAGGAACCTTATCATATACTTTTTAATTTATGTTGCTTTATTGTATTAGTCACTTATGCTGAAAACAGTGACATAGAAGGTAAAAAATGATAAGGAAATATATAGTCCTTTTCCTTTTAGTCTTTATTTACTCATCAATATTAGCCAAAAGTAGAAAGTGTTGGTAGAATCTACGTGTATCAAGAAGTGTAATAAACACTGTTGAGTCAGTTGTACAGCACGTCCACTATTCTGGTAAGAATGAAATACATATGCATGTATGAGCTACAAAATGTAAATTGTATAATTTCAGTGATTCTGGATATGAATTAAATGTTCTTACATTTACATTCAAAGCTGACATTGTACAATATAAAGATGAATGATAAAATTCATATTAATTTAAATTTTGATTTTTCTTAGAATGACAACAAATAGCAAATTAAAAAAACACCATGACAACTTGAGAGAGAGACTACAGAAGAAAAAAAAGCACTTTACATTTCAGTATGTTGAATGACATTTTTTTCCCTTCTTTTTGGACAAAGGATTCTGCATTTACATTTTGCAAGGGGCCTTGCAATTAATGAAGCCAGCTCTGTTGAAAGGGAAAGCATTTCTAGACACCAAAGCACAGGCAAGACAATCATCAATCCTGTTGGTGAGCAGTGAAAAAAGTAACTGTGCCAGACGCAGTGGCTCATGCCTGTAATCCCAGCACTTAGGGAGGCCAAGGCAGGTGGATCACCTGAGGTCAGGAGTTCAAGACCAGCCTGGCCAACATGGCGAAACCCTGTCTCTACTAAAAATACAAAAATTAGCCAGGCATGGTGGCACGTGCTTGTAGTCCCAGCTACTCAGGAGGCTGAGGCAGGAGAATCACTTGAACCCGGGAGGCAGAGGTTGCGGTGAGCCAAGATCCCGCCACTGCATTCCAGCCTGGCCGACAGAATGAGACTTTGTCTCAACAACAAAAAAAAGTAATTGACAAAATTCAGTTTTAAAAACTGGTTCGTCTATATAATTGCCTTGGCATTCATGGCCATCTAAGTGAAATGTATCTTAATGCTAGAGTCCTATGACAAACTGTACTTGATACATTGCAGCACTTTTCCTAAATCAGGAGCTCAGGTAAAATACAAGTGACAGAGATAGTCAAATTGGATTCCAAAATCACCAAAAACAATCTGTCTAAAAACTCAGGAGCTTCATGTGGTCCATGCACCTGTCAATACTCTAACTACAGGCTGAAGTTAAGCTTTGGATTCTGAGACTATACGGACAAACAAAATTTCTGTTCTCAAAGATTATATCAATCAATATTTGCATAAATTCTATGAAATGCTAAAATAATAAAAAACAAGAAATATCCATGCATCTTTATAGTTACATGTAACTTTTAAGGAAAAGAGAATAAGCCTTTGTTCTCCCATTTTCAGGGCTTTCTCTGTTTCACAAGCATATGAATTTTGGCTGATAATCTTACATCTTTCTTATAGTGACTCTTGGATTCACTTTTTTTTTTTTTTTTTTTTTTACTAACTCTTGTAAGACAAACAGCTCTGAACATAGTGTGGAAGATACCGTAATCTCCTTGAAGCTAAAAGATTGCTCAGAATTACACTAATATTTCTAAGAAGCATATATAGTAGTAACATTTCCAAAAAATATAGACCTTAACTAGTCTTCCTAAAAATTTCTGTGTTACTAGAAATTAAGTGGGGCAAGTTGGCAGATGACATGCCAAATGGAGTGATAATCCATTGGCATAATTCACTCAGGAAGTAGACAGGTGGGGCAATTATAAGTGCAAAGGTTAAAGATGCCCCACCCATTGATTACCTGAACCTGAACTTTCTTGATGGTGAGGTGCGGGGAGATGCTCATTCTGTGATGAATAATTAGCAAAAGGCTTAATGTGCAAAATTCCCTGGGAGAGATGGCACATTGGTTTTTATTCACACTAAGGAGAAAGTGGCTGAGGGAGAATAAACTTTTAAAATCAGGTTTTGGTAGGAAATAGAGGAGACAGGAGTAACCAGTGACTGCAATTGAGAGGGCAGGTGCAGTGGGGCACCCCAGATTGCATCTGCTCTATGACTGGGTCTTGGTTTTCCCTGATTACATGTTTTACACCACAGTGATTTATAAGCCAAAAGTAGGCCTTTCCATTTTGATCTCCAGTCTAATGGGGCAAGCAAATAAATACTCCTAAAAGTACTGTCTATGTAATTAACATTATTTTAGGTATTTCATTATGATTATAATTCTTAGGAATGAAAATAGTGTTTTACAAAAGCAGTTATGGACCTATCAATAGATGTGCTTCTCTTGATAACAGGAGAGCCCTCCCTGGGCTGACTTTAGAATAAGACTAGAGGTGACTCCTATGTGGATGTGCCCAGGGCAGCACCTGCTGTAGAGTTCATCCCACAGCATTGTGTGCTCACTTTCAGACAGAGCCTTACTCTGTTGCTCTGGCTGGAGTACAATGGCACAAACAAGACTCACTACAGCCTCAACATCCTGAGCTCAAGTGATCCTCCCACCACAGCCTCCCAAGTAGCTGGGACCACAGGTGCGTGCCACCACAACTAGCTATTTATTTTTTTTTCTTTTGGTAGAGACAGAGTCTCATTATGTTGGCCAGGCTGGTCTCGAACTCCCAGGCTCAAGCAATCCTTCCACCTTGGCCTTCCAAAGTGCTGGTATTTCAGGCATGAGCCACTGTGCCTGGCCTCATTTACTTTTTAATTGTTAAACTAGCTGTTTTATTTATTAGAAAATGTGATCCATTATCCAAACTTCATTCGGATTGAAGAGCACAAAACTCAGCATCAGATCTGGGTTTGAGACTTTTTTTCTCTCTGATTTTTTAAAAAGAAATAAAAACCCTACTACCATTTCTCTTACCTGCCCTAATCAGCTCATAGTTTTATTGGGAATGGCCATTCTGGTAAGACACAGTGGCAGAGGCATTCTTGACTTTGGTTTCGTTCTCAAAGCAATACTCCATGAGATAAAGCATATGAGCATGACTTTCAAACTAGAATGTAAAGTACCACACAAATGCTAGCTTCTCCCTCTCAGAAACAAAAAGAAATTGATAGTAATATTTATTTTAGTAGAGAGGATGAATGCCAATGACATTTTTATTTGAAATTTTATTATGAAAGGTAAAAATTTTTAAAGCACACATAGGGCATGTTTCAGGACAAGGAATCATCTCATATCCCTTAGTGGGACTGACTTTCCTCTCACATCTCCAAGCAAGGCAGTCTATGCCTTCCCAGACCTCTTGGGCCAACGAGGACAGAGATACTATCTCTACCTTCCCTGGGGCAAGTGGCCTCCTGCTCAGCAACCTGAAGGCCAACCAAGACCCTATCTTGGTGGAAACTCTTCCACATCTCCTATGAGTCATTACTCCAAAGGAAGGCACTATCCTGATTTCTAAAACCATCATTTTTCTCCCCCTGTTCTTGAACTTTACACAAATGAAATTATACAGGATTTATTCTTTGGATCTGCAATCTTTTACTTGATATTAGGTTTCTGAGATTCATCATGCCATTGTGTATGGCTCTCATTCACTCACTTTCATTGTTGGGTAGCATTGCATTGTGTGAACATATCACAATTTATCCATTTCACTATTGATGGACATTGTATTGTTTTCAGTTTGAAGCTGTTACAAACAATGCAGCTATAAGTATCCTTGTCTATACCTTTTGGTACACATATATACATTTTTCTATGGTGTTTGTAAATGTGAATAGACTTGCTAGATCATAGACTCTGAATGTATCCAATACAGACAATGCCAAAAGTTTTCTAAAGTGGTTTTACCAACTTTCTGAAATACCAAATTTACACTACCTCCAGCAGTATGTTTCTGGAATACCAAATTTACACTACCTCCTTCATGAATGACACTAGGTGAGCCTGAACATCTGCATTTACTTTTCTCTTAATATTACCCAGAGCTGGATTCTGTCGCTTGCAAATAAGAACTTTACAAGACAGCTGAAAAATGTGGAGAGAAGAATTACAGATTGAGAATAGCAAGAAGAAAGGCCCTAAGGCCATTATGTAACATCTTGTATTGACTTCTTGCCAAGCAGATACTGTATTCACATGTTTACACACACATACATCCCTAGATAGATGAGAGAGAGAGAGACAGAGAGAGAGAGAGAGACAGAGAGAGAGAGACAGAGAGACAGAGAGAGAGAGAGAGACAGACAGAGACAGAGACAGAGAGAAACAGACAGGTGGATAGCCAGAAATCATCTCAGTTAATCATTCTAACTTGCCAATTTTATGCAAGCTACTATGTTAGGCAAAACCCTATGAAACAGGTATGATTCACATTTATTTAGATTAGGAAACTCACATCTAATAAGTTCAAATAACTTAGTTAAGATCAACTACAAGTAGTGACAAAGGAAGGATTTAAATTAAACCCAAGATTGTCTGGCTCCAAAGACTCTGCTGTTCACCAATATACCACAATGATATAGATTATTTTTAAACCCAAGAAAGAGTTGATTTATTTATAAAGGGTATTTAGAGCATATTCTGTTAACTGTCAACAACTTCAAACATCACTAGCTATGTTCCAGGGTTATTTTTTTCCAGTGTCTGTGTGGAGCATCCTAGGCAAGAGGGTAGGTGTGTCATGAGAAAGATGGAACATTCCAGGGAGTGGAGTGCATGACAAATTGTTTGTGAATATTCTTCATTCACTGCCAGCTGCTGATACTGCATTCCAATTTAACTCAAAACAGTCTTAGGTAATAATGCTAACTAATAATCATAAACGATTTTGCATCCCTAACACATTACAGGTCAGAATGCTGCTAAGTCACAAGAAAACCATACATTTCTTCACCATCTACACTCAAGTCTTTTTTTTTTTAAAGATGCTGCTTTTCTCAGGGTGAGTGTAGAGTACAGGAGAAATATAATTTTGTTTGCTGTTATATTTTTATTTCATTCTCATAGTTAAATACAAAATTTGAATCAGCTTATCAAAATACTGTATAAATTTAACCTGTAGGAATTTTATATATTGTAGTATTGGTATATTTCAATTGGTTAGCTAGTGTGGAAACATGTTTGGCTTTGTTGCTGTTGTTATGTTGGTAATGATTTTTGATGTTTGATTGGCATAAAGTTTTACTGGTTCATGACCCCTGATAAGATTTTTTCCTTGGATGAGATCTCCCTCAATTCGCTTTTTAAGTTTCTATGATTTTAAAAACATAGATGACATAAAAAAGAAAAATTTTAAAACTTACTAGATTTGGAACACACTAAGGTCATTTTTGCATATCATGTAGCACCTATAAAGTCATGTTACATCAAAGGGCAACATTGGAATCCACCTGGAAATCAATAGTTACAACCCCTAAGAAAGGACTTCCCTCGGCCAAATAGGAAAGGGTAAAGTAGGGCAATAAGGAGAGTTTAAATATTTTCTTTTTGAAGCCTGTTTAATTACATTGTTTGATAAACCAATTCTATTTTGAAAGCCTCTCTCTAAAAATTACTATTGAGCGACAGTTACAGTATCATCTGTTGCCTGCTGCTTATAATTTACAAGTGATTGCTACATGTAAATTGTATAATTAATCAGCCTTAAAGAGAAGTGAAAACTGTGCCCTCCATCCAAATGCAAAGCTAATTTTTGGTGTTGGTACTTTCTATTTTTGCAGTTTAGGCTGATGTGAGTGTTTAGCAGCCACATGCACACCAGCTGCTACTTCCAGGAGTGCCACTTTAAGTCTTCAGAATGTGGGCAGCTGACTCCTTCATGAATGACACCAGGTGAGCCTGAATATCTTAATATACTTCATCCTCAGTCATATTCACAGGCAAGGAAATACCTTCCCACTGTCAGAGAAAGGCAGCCTCTTCTGGAGAAGGGCAGATACTCAGCGGATGCAAAGCCCAGTTGCGCAGCACCAGGAAAAAGTACACCCCAGTAATTCAAGTAACACTCTTTCCAATCCTCAATATTCTGAACGGACAGTCTACTCTTTTTGAGTGTCCCTAGCATTTAATTTATAATCATAATTTTAAAAAGATGATTTCTGAACCATGAAAATTCACTCAATAGCTAAAGACAGATTGAGGTAGAATTCAGCTCTCGATGGAGAACAATCCATTTAGGCTCTGAAATTAAAAAAAAAAAAAAAAAAGAAAGAAAAAAAAAACTCAGCTAAGAAACTCAGAGAATGAGTCAGCACTGTGGATCCGGAACCTGGTATTTAGGTGTCCTCACCGCCAAAGGTGTCTCCAACCTGGTATTTAGTTTCCCTGAATCAGCTACCTTCTAATTCCCATTCCCCAATGTATTGAATGATCCTCTTGACTTAAACTCTTAGAGAAAAGCTAAAAATACAAACAAGACATGACAACACAGCCATTATATTCTTCTTAGCATTCTCTTTCTAACTTTACAATTTATCTGTTAATATTAGTATACGCATATAAATAGTTTAAAAAATAAAAACAAAAGTTGATCCACTTTAATTTATTATTACATTTGGTCTATATCTGGACTCTACTTGACCTGATAAGAATTGAGAAGTTCTAGTACCAACCACCAAATAAATGAGAGTGTAACAGAAAGTATTATGACAGAATTCACAGAGTAAGGAAGAGTTATTTTACCAACTTTTACACAGGAGATTCCCCTGCTTTTGGCTGAACATGAACTCTGGTCTCTGTGAAACCTATTTGTTTTGCCTGAAAGTTGGAATCTAGCTAATGTCAATGTTAGTTTTACCATCAGTCAAGAATTTAGCTTAATATTAAACTTTATAATAAACTGAGAGGATTCACTTGCCTGCTGATTTTCTATGGGTGGCATCCACACATTTGAAATATAGCTAAGAATTATGTTAATTTAGTAAAAAACATGTTGCAGATGCAGCTGTTTATTTGCTTTTCATAGCCTATGATATCATTCCAATGCATGTGTCTTGATTTGGAAGGTCTGATGCACTCTGAGAGTGACTTTGATTTGAGAATAGGCTACACCCAAAGTAGCTGTAAGCTATGGCCATGCCCATTTGCTTCAATGTCCTAAAGTTAAATGTGTGTGTGCAAATAAAAGAAGGTCCCTGTTCTTTACAATCAGGAGTCAAGTCAAAAGACACTGATTTCAATTTCACATTTAACTGTTTAACAGTTATGATCTCTGAATAGTATTCCATGGGGGCAAGAAGTCTATGTTTTCCTTGCTGCTGTATCCCTAGCACCTACCATTCTGCCTTGTAAAAAACAAGTGAGTGAAAATATTTTTTGAGTCCTTGTTGCTGAATTGCGTTCTGTGTGCATTTCTGTATTTTCTTTTGAAAACTTATAGTGGACATATATTTATAATAATGAAAAAGAATGAAATTTTATAATGCTTAATATTCTTTCTTAATAGTCTAAGTAAACTTCTTTTCCTTATATGAGCCAATTTGTCAATTAGTCTACCCAGAAATTATAATTTAAAAATTTTGAGAGAAATAGGAAATGTCTTAATTGTTTCCTGGCACTGCCTACTTTTACAACTACTGCCTGCAAACATTTTATAAATTCACCCTGCTCCATGAGGAATTTATAAATTCACCATGAGGAACAGAGTGAATTTATAAAAATTGGGCCTGTTGACACCGTGCACAGCTCCTCCTGCCAGGCCTGAGTGTTCAAGGTCAGTGGCTGGGCTGATATGATGGAATTTCCTTCATAATAAGATAAAAAAAAAAAAGCCAGAATCTGTTGTTTTTAGAAGATAGGTGCACTTGCTTGTCTTGCTTAATGGGCCTCCGGGGATCAGGTCCACATGAACATCTCTGTTCAGAAAGATGGACTCTGCTGGAGCAACTTCACAAAAACAGGACTTCCTGCAACCTCCTGCAACCCAGCATTGCATATGTTGTATTGAGTTAAGCTACTGAGATTTTAGGGGCTAAAAACAAATTCCCTTTCAATGAGGGAAAAGGAAGTGAGTGTTGAAAGGTACTGGTTCAGGTACAAATTTTCATGGCAGACCAGTAAGTCTTGACTGAATCACTTGAGTGGGCCAATGACTACATCTTTACCTTTGAGTGTAGTTGTTTTCCTTTAATTTAATGAAAAAAAAAATTTGCCTTAAGTGCTGTTCTTACATGTGCAATAACATTCATGTAATTATCATTATTTAGTTTTCAGACACCTTTTGACATAAATGTGATATCTCTTCAGTTCTGTGCAAGTAACTCAGATAAATAATGCAATTCATTCATTTGTTCAACAAGTAATGACTGAACAAGGCATTTTCTAGATGCTGCAAATACAACACTGAACAAAACAGAAAATGTCTCGCCCTCATGGAGCTTAGACTCCATGGAACTCAGATTCGAGGGGTGACATAAAACATCAGTAAGTGTAATTGGTAGTATTTCAGAAAGTAAAAGTTCGAGAAACAAAGATAAATCAGGGAAGGGGGATAGGGAGTGTCTAGGGCAGGGAAGGATTGACATATTCCTGATATCTATGACAGTGCCTGGCACCAAGTAAGTCTTCAGTGAATGAGGACCAGAACATACTGTCATTGTAATAACACTCAGCTTCCCTGCAGTTTTTCTCCTGGATTAGTCTAATACATCTCTTTATATGTATATGGCCTTGAGAATTTGCCCTATTTCCTTCATTGCCCAATAAAGTAGTGGCAGATACTAGCCTCTGAAAAGAAAACAGATCAGCTTCCATTGGTGATATTTCTTTGACTCCTTCCCCAACTGCTCACTGCCTTCTCCTGTTCCAAACTTGTCTTCGCTGCACTCCTGAATATTGGTTCTATTTTTTTCCACAAGCTACTCTTGATTCTTGGTACTTAGTGCTGACAGTTAAGCTCCCCAGTAAACCTTCAATCTTCCTGAAGAATGTGTCTCATTTCCTGAATTAGAGAAGTCATTTGGTGTCTGCTCACCCAAACTGTCTTTCGAGGGACTTTTGTCCACTCTAACCCCGATAGCTAAGCAGCCATATTTTAAAAACACAATTCCTTTTCTTTTCTTCCCTCCTCTCACCCTCATCCAGGGTTCAGGTAATTACACTAATGTCACCATCTGAGCCAAGCTAATCCTTTGGCTTGCTGGTATTAAAAGAAAGATGAGGGCCAGGCATGGTGGCTTATGCCTGTAATCCCAGCAATTTGGGAGGCCGAGGTGGGCAGATCACCTGAGGTCAGGGGTTCAAGACCAGCCTGACCAACATAGTGAAACCCCGTCTCTACTAAAAATACAAAATTAGTTGGGCGTGGGGGTGCATGCCTGTAATCCTAGCTACTCGGGAGGCTGAGGCAGGAGACTCGCTTGAACCTGGGAGGTGGAGGTCGCAGTGAGCTGAAATGGTACCACTGCACTTTAGCCTGGGCAACAAAAGTGAAACTCCATCTCAAAAAAAAAAAAAAAAAAAAAAAAAAGAAAGATGAGCTGGGATAACTAAGTTCTCTGTCTCCTAAATTTGAATTTAATTATGCAGGCAGACTATACCAGTTGGTAGTATAAATTAAAGCTGAAGAAAAAGCACCATGAAGCAGAGTTGGGTTCATAGCAAGGCACATGAAATGCAAAATCATGAAGCAATAGACACTGTAAGTAAGCAGAAAAAGCCTCAGAGCAAAGAAAGGAAAACAAATCTGACACTGGGTGGTGGAACCAGAAATAGAAGAAAAGAGAGAAAGAAGGCGGACGAGTGTACTTTATTATTCCCTAGAGTTGTACCACAAGAGCTTTCTAGTTTCAGTTCTAATTACAGTACTAAATCAATATATATCCCTAATGTTCATTAGCTGAGCATTGAAGGACTTCCTGCCTCAGAGCCTTTGCCCTTCCTGTTCCTTCTGCCTAGAACACTCCCTGCACCCCCTTTCCCATTCATCCATTCAGCAAATAATGGAGAAAAAATGAAACAGCAAGGGCAAAGCCCCTGAGGCTCTGCCTCATATTTCTGTTTACTCCCTGCCTTCCTTCAGGTCTCTGCTTAAATGTCACCTATGACAGAAGCATTACAGGTTGATGGTTTATAAAATGACAACTTGCCCATCATTTTCTGCCTCTTTCTTTATTTTGTTTTATTCTTTTTCATAGCACTATCACCATTTGACAAATTGTGTAGTTATTTTTGTGTTTTGCTTGTTTTCCCAACTAAAAGGTGAACTCTGCAAGACAGAGCAACTTCGTCAGATTAACTACTATATCTCCAGTGCCTAGGACAGTACGTAGTAGGTGCTCAGTAAATATTTGCTTAGTGAATGAATAAATCCAGAGAAAGGTCCCTAGAGGAGATGAAGCTGTGCTGGGTCACAAACAGTTTTTCATGTGAATACAGATAGGAAAGGCATTCTAAGCACAGGAAATAGCATTAGCTAAAGCTCAAAATCAAGAAACAAAATAGTATACAAAGCCACAAAAATATGAACAAATTGGTGCACATATAGTGTAGTTGAAATGAGATGCAGGGACACAGTAATTAGAGACAAGTGTAGATACATAAGCCAGATTATGCAGTATTAGATGCCATGCTAAGGAACATGGGCTTTATTCAGCAGGCGAAGAGCATCCACTGAAAAGTTTTAAGCATATATTAGGACTATATGGTAGGCAAAATTCTAAGATAGTTCCTCAAATTCCCAGCCCAAGTGTACCCATATCTTCTCTCGGTTATTGAAGTAAACACTAATATATAACATAACATAACATAACATAACATAACATAACATAACATATATTATGATATAATTGATATATATTAGATATCATATTAGTACATATATTATATATAATATGTATTATATAGGATATTAGTATATATTATATATTATTAGTGTATATTATATATAGTACATATTAGTATGTTAGTATATATTATATAATTGAGATATATATGTATGTGTGTATATGTGTGTGTGTGTGTGTATATATGTGTGTGTGTGTGTGTGTGTGTGTATAGAAGAGATTTTTGCAGATGTAATTAAGGTCATAAATCAGTTGACTTTAAGATAGGGAGATTATCCTTGGTGAGCCTGACCTAATCAGGTGAGCCCTTAAAAGGGACTGAGCTTTCTTTCTTTCTTTTTTTTTTTAGACAGGCTCTCTCTGTCATCTGGGCTGGGGTGCAGTGGTGCAATCTCAGCTTACGGCAACCCCCACCTCACCTCCTGGGTTCAAGCGAGTCTCCTGCCTCAGTAAAGATGAGGTCTCACCACGTTGGTCAGGCTCGTCTCGAACTCCTGACCTCAAGTGATCCACCAGCCTTGGCCTCCCAAAGTGCTAGAATTACAGGTGTGAGCCACCGCACCCAGCCTGAGCTCTTTTGATAAATTGGATATAAGTACGATTCTCCATTGCTGGCTGGGGCCATGTGACAAGCAATGGGAATGGCCTGTAGGAAATGAGAGGGCCCCTGGCTAACAACCAGCAAGGGAATGGCACCTCAGTCCTACAATGGAAAGGAATTGAAATCTGCCAGCAGCCTGAATGAGCCTGGAAGTGAATCCCAAGTTCCAGCTGAGACCACAGTCAAGCAACACCATGATTTCAACCTAGTGAGACCCTGAGCAGAGATCCAGCTACTCCTTGCCTACAGAAATGTGAGCTAACAAATGGGTGTTTCTTTATGCCACTGTGCTTGTGGTAATCTGTTATACTAGAATAGAAAAACTGCTAGACTGTGTGGAAAACAGCTTGGAGAGGGTTAAGACTAGAGACAGGGAGCCAGGGAGGGGGGTGCTGCAGTCATCCAGACATGGGAGGAATGCCCAGAATTGCAATGATCCTATACCTCTGAAATTCATAGGGGCCTTCCTTCCCTGCTGAGCTGAGCACACAACTGCCTTTGAACTCTACGCTTTAAAGCACCCTGTAACTTTGGAGGAAGCTGCTTTCCATTGATAGGTTGGCTCCACCAGCTCTGATCAGTCCATTCCCAGCTTTTCCATCTTCCTGCCAACATGCGGTATCAACAAGTTTCCTGTCTAAGCCCCCTGAGTTGTAAAAATCAGTCATGCTTCTCACCAATAGCTTCCTTTGGAGGCATGGACACATAGCAGCTCTCAACCTTGGCAGCCCATGACAATGGTCTTGAGAGCTTTTAAAATCATGATATCCAGCCCAACCACTCAGAGATTCTCATTCAACTGGGTCTCAGGCATCGTGTTTATTTGTTTGTTTGTTTGTTTTAACTCTTTCAGTGATTGTGGCCTATAGCCCTGGTTGAAAACAACAGAAATATAGCCTCAATTTGAAGGTACATGATTTGAGAGATGATATTTAGTAATAAAATGTCATTTTCTCATCTATCTTTCAGAATAGCATTATGGAATATTCTCTTTTCGCCTCCCTCTTCTCTTCTTCCTTCTGCTTCCAACTTTCCCAGTAAGAAAACTAACATCATTATTATGTAAAATTTGTTACATTAACATTTCATTATAGAAATGATTTCAAGTAGTTGATGAGGAGACTAAGGCTCAAAATAAGTTAAATGAATTGCTTCATAATCACATCGTTTGTGGGCTAAACACAATCTCAAACCATCTTCATGTCCCAAACCTTATGTTTTCCCCATCAACACCATTCCATAAGGAACTGTAAAGAATATATCTACCTCTGTTTATATCAGCCACCACCTACTGACTATGTTCTAGATACTATCAAGTATGTTTCAGATTTCATTTGAGTCTCACATTGATGTTATGTGGTAAGAATAGATACTTCCACAGTGATAAAACTGACGTTTGAAGTGGTTAAAAAACTAACCCAGGGTCAGACAACAAGTAAATGATTAATTCAGAATATATGTAGCAATCTTCTGATTCCAAGTTCAGTGTTCCTACTGTATTCACTTGATCCTAGAGACGAATGACTCTGTCAAAGGCAGAATATCCTTGGAAAGAACATTCTTCAGCCCAAATAAAATAAAAATAATCCCCACTATTTCTTCAAGTTTCTCCCCCACCACTTGGGGTACTCACATAAATTCTCCACTTGATTCTAAAGCTGCACTTTATGAAACAGCTTGCTGATAACTACAGTGATCCTAATAAGATACTGTATTCCAAAAATCATGTGACTATACAGGCACACATTGACACATATGTGAATACGAGTGACAAACACAAGACATCTATACCACAGAAAGTGAATTATGATTATTCCGGGAAGTGAGTGATTTTTTTCCTTCTTGTTCTCCTTCACTTTCTCTTTCTTCTCCTTCTCCCTGCCCCTCCTCCTCTTCTTCTTTTTCTTCTTCTTCCATTTCTCTTTCTAAATTTTCCACAATGCAAATGTAATATTTTATAATTAGGAAAAAGTTAAATGATGAAAAGAGAAAAAAATGACAGTCTCCAAAATTCTTTTTTCCTGCCTCATCTATCCCACTGCTATGTATTAATACTCAACCCCTCTCCTCCAAAGTTTATTTGGTATTAGGCTCAAATAAACCCTCTCCTTATATATTGCTATATTCATTCATTTACAACTGCAGCTACATGCCTATAAATTGCCCATGACAATAGAAAGATAAGTAATATTCTCCCTTTGTCCTCAAGAACCTCACATCTAGCGTGACAAACTAATTAATGGGTTATTATTACATAACTTTGGTATTACACCATAAGAAAGAAGGAACGCCTTCATTCTCTACTTTTCATCTTGAGAAAAATGTCTTCATGGCTCCACTTATCTTTAGTTTGAAAGGGTCTATACCTGGCAACTGCTCCATTATCGGAAAGTCACACAAATCTGTCTTGAAACAGCATGTGTATTTACCGAAAGACATAGAAAGAGAAAATAGCAGTGGTGGAAGAATGGACCTGCAATGTTGCACTGTAAGTAGGGTGGCCTTAGCATTTATCATTCAAACCTTTGAGATGCTTGTGAGAATGGAAAAGGGTGGCATTAAAAGTTATCCTAGGGGCCAGGTGTGGTGGCTCATGCCTGTAATCCCAGTACTTTGGGAGGCCAAGGCAGGCAGATCACTTGAGTTCAGGAGCTGGAGACCAGCCTGGCCAACATAGTAAAACCTCATCTCTGCTAAAAAATACAAAAAATAGGCCGGATGTGGTGGCATGCACCTGTAATCCCAGCTACTCAGGAGGCTGAGGAAGCAGAATCGCTTGAACCCGGGAGGCGGAGGCTGCAGTGTGCCAAGATCGCACCACTGCACTCCAGCCAGGGTGACAGAGCGAGACTCCATTAAAAAAAAAAAAAAGCCGGGCATCGTGGTGCACACCTGTAATGCCAGCTACTCAGGAGGCTGAGGCAGAAGAACCGCATGAATCCCGGAAGTGGAGGTTGCAGTGAGCCGAGATCGCGCCACTGCACTCTAGCCTGGGTGACAAAGCGAGACTCCATCTCGAAAAACAAAAAAGTTATCCTGGGCAACAGGCATGAAACTCTCAATTTTTTCCAAGAAAACTGTGACATATATTCATGCTTATATGGAATTAAGAGAGTCAAGACATTTTTTCCCATTGAGATGACTTCTCGTGGAAAATCAAAGATATTTATTGAGCCCTTTCACATTCAGTTTTGCAACAATCTTGAAATAATTCCTATTCATGTCATTTGCATAATTCCACACATGGACCACCTGCTTTATGAGTTTGCCATGTATGTAGAGGACATTTCCACCAGCTCGGTATTCCTCATGGGGCTCCCAGTTCCTCACCTGCATCCTAGGACAATTCTGCCCAGGAATTTATTCTTCTGGGTCCTTTGTCTCTGCAGCCATACTTCTGAAACCACAGCTGCTGGGCCTCTCTGAGCCTTCTTCATGTGATGGCAGAGGCAGGCCTAGTCGTAGCTGCAGAAACAAAGGTGAAGGACCCCCTGAAGCTGGCTGGTGGGTAAGGAGCAGTGGCTCGGGCTTTGTTGCTGGTATGGATTTCTCCTGTTTGCTGTGGAATAGAATTTAGGGAAGTAATGAGGGAGCCCTGTCGTGTTCACCACACACAGGCTCCATCAGTGCAAAATTTCACTCGGCAGATGAACACAGACAGATGCACATTTTCTTCACCAATGAAATATTAAACATGACAGTTGTGTTACTCATCGGGAAATGCTGCATGCAAAATGCATGTGTAACCCACGAGGTCTTCCTCATTTCATCCCTCCTGCTTGGCTAGGGTTCTAGGAGATGATATTCCTCCTGCAACGATGTTCAGGTATCCAATTCCAAAAGTTACGGTCAATGGTATCTTTGGGAAGATAATTTAAAGGCTTTTGGCTTTAAATTAAGGATCCATTAAGATAATAAAATGTTGTCTTTGACTTTATTGTTATTCTGCCTAAGGGATCTGTGGGAGAACACAGGATTAAAAACTATGGAGAGAAAGATTCCCATCACTATGGAAACAGATTCATTTATTTTTATAGGCTGATTTCTAATTCCTCTCCCTGGGCAAAGCTCCCACTAACTTCTGATGCTAGGAGATGATGCTTATTCAACAGATATTTTGTTGCTTGGGGTTGCTTTTCCTGTTTATTTGGAGAGAAGGGTGGTAGGAGAGGAGGGCTCAGTAAAGAGGCAAGCTGTATAAGAATATGTTTTCAGTGGTTTGACTTAAATCAGAGTAGCCAACTGATTGGAGTGAGAAGGCCATATTTAGAACTCACTACCAATATAGGAAAAGGAAACCCCTTAAGTGTTACTAGCTTGACATCAACTCTTAAAAAATGCAAAATACAGAGAGAGCAGTTTCAAGAAGCATAACTCCTGAATAAAATTCTGTCTGTTGACTATGTTCAGCCTAGAACCTCATAACTATATATAGAGAACATCACAAAGGGTAGCATTCTTTAGGAACCACAATAGGTTTCCAGTCAACTATTTTTAACTACTCATTTCTTACTGTTTTTGAAGTTTATATTACCCAATGGGATGCCAAATTCTCTCTCTTACAAGCAGGGATCTTGTGGATAAGGAACAGCTCTTACTTCCCCTATTAGCTACTTCCAAGAACAAATGAGGATTGTAATTGATACCTGCTGCTATGCTGTTGCACTCTTAGCCTGAGAAGTGCTAGGGATATAAATAGCAGCTTGATGATTTAACTCAACCTGGTTTAAGAGATCATGTGTTGCTGTTACTTTGCATGAAAATGACATCATGCCTGGTTATTCAATGTGCTGTGCAATCCAACAAACTGAGGATGGCCAATCACAGATCTCTGTATCAGAATTTGGTCAAAGCTCTGGAATGCAGGATGAAACAGTGCATGCAGAACTGGTAGAAAGATCAGTGGAGCAATTCATCCATCAAATCTGACCAAACAGCTGCCACTCCCCTTTCAGGCAACTCAGACATTAGCCATCAGTCCTGGAAAGCCATAGGAGCAAAGCCAGTTAAATCATGATTCAGCAAATTGAAATTCAAGTAAAGTGCAATGCAGCAGCGTGTTTGCGCACGTGTGTGGGTGTACGTATATGAAGAAAGCCACAGGTGTGGTGAAAGATTCCCTAGATTGAGTTCCCTATTTAATCTTTAATATAGAGGAGACAAAATTTAGAAATTGGTTTTAAAATGTCTGTTTCACATTGCCAAATATTTGACCTCAGGAAATACCTGGATGTTTGGCCAACTTCTTCATCATGTATTTGACACAGGTACCGTTCTATGCTTACTTCAGTGCACATATGCACACAGGCCTTCAGAGACGGTTAGCCCATTTACCCCATTTGGCTGCCTCTTATCCAAAGGACTCTAAGTGACACTGAAAGCAGGATGCAGAGGTGGGTAAAAATATGTGTAGGAGAAGACTAAGTAACTCAACCTGGGATGGAAGAGTACATGATGTAATATTGCATATCCCAAGGCCACATTTTCCACAGCAGGTGGGGGAGGGTGGTATATGATTTGAGGATTTTGGCAAAAGCACTGGCATCCCTCTGTATTAGAAATAAAAACCAAGAGATATCCGTATAATAGAAAACTGGATAAATCACACATTAAAATCTTTATTTCAAGTCAATAACCGTATGTTGAAAGAAATGTGCAAGGTACTAGGCAGGAGACAACATTACCATACACAGGCCTCGCCCTCAATGCCTTTACAGTCCGGTGAAGGATTGAGACACAGAAACAATGAATCATTGGCAAAAGAAAGGGGGAAGGAGGAGTCTAACGTGATGCTAAGATTCCTACTTGAGTGACTAGCAAGAAATATGGAATGATGAGCAATTAAATTTTTTTTTCAAATATTACAAAGGCAACACGTGCTCGTTCATCCCCACCACACCCCACCCTGGGAAATAACATTAAGTCAGCTGATTATTCCACCATTCCCATGTCCATTCAAACACACAAACACATATACACAGGTAGAGTTTTTTGTTATTTTTGTTTTTATAATAACGGGATGATGTACATATTAATTTGCAAGCTGCTTTATTCACTTCAGAATATATCATAGATGCGTTTTCACACTGAAGAGCTGCAAGATGGCCATAATTCATTGTCATCTATTCTGCTCTGATGGGAATTCAGGTTGTTCCCAGTTTTCTATCACTAACAATAAGCATCCTTACAAATATATCTTTATATAGAGAGGTGCTTTGAATTCAATAAGATAGAGTCTAAAAATAGGATCGCTGGGTTAAAAGGTATAGGTACTTTTTTTTTGTTTTTTGAGACAGAGTCTCACTCCATCACCCAAGCTGGAGTGCAGTGGCGTGATCTCAGCTCACTGCAACCTCTGCCTCCTGGGTTCAAATGGTTCTCCTGCCTCAGCCTCATGAGTAGCTGGGATTATAGGTGCCTGCCACCACGCCCAGCTAGTTTTTGTATTTTTAGTAGAGACAGGGTTTCACCATGTTGGCCAGGCTGGTCTCGAACTCCTGACCTCAAATGATCCACCTGCTTCGGCCTCCCAAAGTGCTGGGATTACAGACGTGAGTCACTGTGTCTGGCCAGTATACATACTTTTCATTATAACTAAGTCTTCCAGATTTCTTTTCAAAGAAGGTGAAGCAATTTATGTGATACATGGAAATTCTTACTGATGATGAGCAACTCTGGGAACTGGAGACCTGAGTACGGCAGAAAAAGGAAGGGAACAGTATTTAGTTTGATTTTCAACTAGTTAAGTCTAAGATGTCTGCTGGATGTTTCTAGGTTGACACCTAGTAGGTAGTGAGCTATTCAGCTCTGGCACTAACAGATTTACATGTGAGTGAGGACAAAGGAGTGGATGGAATAGCTCTGAGGAAGAGAATGGAGCCGAGAAGTGGGGTGACTATAGATCTCAAGGTAGCTCCTCCATCATGAAGCTGAGTGGAAAAATTCGGAATTAGCAAAGGAGGCTGTGGGTGTGTCTGAGAGGTAGGTGGAAGCAGAAAGAGTGCAAACTAAGGGAAACAAGAGGAAGAGCCAGTCTCAAAAAGCAGAACCTGGACTACGGCATCAAACGTGGGGTGAGATCTTTAATCACAGTGACCTGGATGTTGCTATTATATCTCATGTTTAGGGCACAGAAATGGAAATTCCAATCTCATATTTTTTTAAAAAAATTTTGCAATTCCCATGGTAGCCTTGGGAATTGCAAGTGCCAACTGCAAGGAATAGGGTGATACTGACATGTCAAATATACTTTTATCCAAAAATCATCCCAGGGCGTCCCAGCTATTGGGGATTATACTCTACACCCCACAAGAAGTTCTTCAGCAACACTGGAAATGAGTTGGAAAATGGTCATTTCCCCTCCCCATGCCCGCCTTGTGAAAGAAGCCCTGTCAATCACAGAATAAAAGGCCCTAAATCATTCACTGAGCAGAAAAATAGCCTGTAAATTATCAAAAGCTTATTACATCCATGTTGACAGCACATAGGCTATGATGCTGAAATTTCACTCTCATCATCTCTTTCTGGACAACGGAAATGGAGTCTTCACCTGCCTATTTCAAAAGTCCTCTTGATGATAAGCTCTAAATATGTTGCTGCAACACACCATGTGATTATCTACATCATACACCTCATGACATTGTCCTGTGTTTGTGGAGGGGATTCAGGACAGGAAGTGACTCTGTCATAACTGGGCACACTTATGTACACACTTAAAATGTTCAACCTCCAGGGAACACTGACAATCCCCTCCCTCTGCCTGCTCATTTCTTTTGTTTAGTGATGACCCACTCCTATTGATAAGCAGCATATGTAGGAAATGCTCCAGAGGAAAAGAACAGCCATTTTACACTATGACTAGGCCATACTTCAACTGGCCTGATGAGAAGGACAGCAAGATTTTCAACACTGGCCTCATGGAGTCAGATGATGCACAGGTATCAAATGCTATCCCTCAGACAGGTTTTTAAGAGGACAGTGTTTGCACAACAGTGATAAAGGCTATCCTGGGAATTGCAAATTCAATTTGACTTACAGCAGTCATGCTTTCCTCTGGAGACAGAGATGATTTGAGCTGCAGGGAAACACATACACACACACACACACACACACACACACAACTCCTTGCACTGCCTGAAAATTAGTATGGATTGACAAAATGAAATAGCATAGTAGACTGGCAGAGAGATGATAATTGCAGTAGGGCAACCAGGGCTGGTTGAGCCCAGAGGAGGAAATTATCATTTTGATTATGTTCAGGAGAATCTATTTATGAGTACAGGTTTCCTAGTTGAGTCAGATTAAATATTTTTCTGGCTCTAAAACACAAAATTTCTATAAAAATAAACTTAGGTAAATTCTTTGACCCAGAATCTTTTCAATCATTTCTGCTTGATGAAAAGCAGTCGTACAGGGGAAGGCTTCTCATTTATCTCACGGATCATTTACACCTGCAACTTGGCAGCATTCTTACCAAGTGTCCTCTCCACACAGCCACCTGCCATACCCGAGTCTCCTTTTCCTCATGCTTCTTCAGCCCATTGGCTCACCCCACGTGGCAGGGAACACAGCCTCTGTAAGAATGAGGAAGTGAAAGCACTGTGCAAAAGAAAAGCTGGTATACAAGGCTGGTGATACGTCTGTAAAGGCAAACTGCAACACGTTAAACTTGAAATTCGGACAAACCTGAGTTCAAATTCCATCTCAGCCACTTACAAGGTGGATGACCTTGGGCAAGTTACACAACCTTTGTTTCCTTATGTGTAAGACAGGGAAATCAATATTCACTTCTTAGGATTGTGGTAAGGATTGGAGGGGAAAATTAATAATCAATGGATCCAGACATGCACATGTTTAGTGTCCCTGGCATGTTGTAGGCACCACTACAATGTAATGATTATGTGGAGAATCTATAAAATCCTATAAAAATTTGCCTGAGTCGTTGACTCCAAAGTAATAAACTAGTTTGCTTTAATGTTAAATGCCAAAAGCATTACTCAAGAAATATTATTTCCTGATTGTTTTTTCTCATAAAACCCACAACATTCTTTCTCATCAAGTTGGCTAGAGGGTTTTGAGGGTTGGGGACCCCACTGGACCCAGGTTTTGTTCTAACTGAATTGCATTAAGGTTAGAAAAGAATGAATGATTTAGGAAGCTATTTCTAATTCCTTTATGTCTGTAAAACACTCAAATAAAATAAATCTGACAAAATCAGTAGATTTCCCAAACTTGAGTCATTTTCTCATGATAAGGCATTTCTCTCAAGATAAGGCAGCATAAGGCTAGACGTTAATTTTTGACAAGGGTACCAAAACAATTCCATGGGGGAAATAATAGTTTTTTTTTCAACAAATGGTGCATATCTATATGCAAAAGAATGAAACTGGACCCCTTTCTCACATGATAGATGAAAATTAACCCCAAAAGGACCATAGACCTAAATGTAAGAAAGAAAATTATAAAACTCATAGAAGAAAGCACAGAAGTAAATCTTCAGTGATTTTGGGTTAAGTGAGGTCTTAAATATAATACCAAAAGCAAGTGCAACAAAAGAAAAAAATAGATAAATTAGACTGCATCAAAATTAAAAATTTTTATGCTTCAAAGGACATCAACAAGAAAATGAAAAAGATGACTCACAAAATGGGGGAAAATTTGCATGTTACATATCTGATAATAGATTTATATCTAGAATATATGAAGAACTCTTACAACTCAATAAAATAAAGAAAGATACCCCAATTAAAATATGGGCTTAGCCAGTGCTTTGGGAGGCTGAGACAGGGGGATCGCTTGAGCCCAGGAGTTTGAGGCTGCAGTGAAATATGATCGTGCCACTGCACTCCGGCCTAGGTGACAAAGCAAGACCCTGACTCTAATATATAGATATATATATAGATATATATTATATCGATATTATATTAATATTATATATTAATATCTATATATTATAGATATATATTATATCTATAGTATTATAATATATATTATATAATTATATATTATATATTATATTATATAATATAATATATAATATATAATTATAATATATAATTATATTATATATAATATAATATAATATTGTATTATATATCATACAATATTATATTATATTATATATAATATAATATAAATTACATAATATTATATAATATAATATATATTACATAATATTATATAATATAATATATATTACATAATATTATATAATATAATATATATTACATAATATTATATAATATATAATATAATTATTATAAAATATAATATAATATAAAATATATATTATATAATAATATATATTATATATTATATAATATATTATATAATATAATATATAATATATAATTATATAATATATATTATAATACTATAGATATAATATATATCTATATATTAATATATAGATATTAATATCTACATCTATAATATATAGATATTAATATATAATATTAATATAATAATATCGATATAATATATATCTATATATATATCTATATATTAGAGTCAGGGTCTTGCTTTGTCACCTAGGCCGGAGTGCAGTGGCACGATCATATTTCACTGCAGCCTCAAACTCCTGGGCTCAAGCGATCCCCCTGTCTCAGCCCCCCAAAGCACTGGCTAATATATATAATATAATTATATATTATATCTAATATATATTAGATATATTATATATTATATCTATATATAATATAGATATAATATATAATATATAATACATATTTATATTATATATAATACATATTATATATTAATATATTATATATAATATATAAATATATATTCAATTAAAAGTAAAATAATATGTATTATAATATATAGATATATATTATAATACATATTATTTTACTTTTAATTGAATATATATTTATATATATTTTACACTTAATTTTATATATATTAAATTATATAATATTTTACATATATATGTAAAATGGGCTTAGAATTTAAACAGAAGATTTGAAAGATTTACAAATGGTTAGTAAGGACATGAAAAGATGTCCCATGTTATTAGCTATTAGAAAAATGCAAATCAAAACTACAACAAGGTACCACATTACACCCATCACACCTTTGTAGGATGGCCATAATCAAAAACAAGGATAACAATAAATGTTAGCAATTAAGAAATGTATGCCTTCCTGGCTGGGCGCGGTGGTTCACACCTGTAATCCCAGCACTTTGGGAGGCTGAGGCAGATGGACCATTTGAGGTCAGGAGTTCAAGACCAACCTGGCCAACATGGTAAAACATCGTCTTTACTAAAAATACAAAAATTAGCTGGGCATGGTGGCATGAGCCTGTAATCCCATCTACTCAGGAGGCTGAGGCAGGAGAATCACTGGAACCCAGGAAGCAGAGGTTGCAGTGAGCCAAGATCACACCACTGCACTCTAGCCTAGGTGACAGAGCGAGACTCCATCTCAAAAAAAAGAAAAAGAAAAGAAAAGAAAAGAAAGAAATGCATGCATTTCTTAATACATAACCCAGTTGAACTGATGATAGGTTTTGTGGCTAACCATGCCTAAGAAAAGCAAGCAAGCAATATGAACAGCCATATACAATAGCTCTGTCTCAGTTACTCTATGTCCTAGTGAGGTTAGGTTAACTCAGGTTGTCAAAGAGAACTCTAGCTTGGAGATGTGGAGAAATTGAGACCCTCATACATTGGTGGTAAGAATGTAAAGTAGCACAGATGCTGTGGCAAACAAAATATTCAACACAGAGTTACCAAATGACCCAGCAGTTAGACCCCTAGAGAAATAAAAACATGTCCACACCAAAACTTCAATGTGGTAAACAATGCCCAGAATAGGAAAATACATAGAAATGGAAAGTAGATTCGTGGTTTCCTAGGGCTGGGGTCGGGGGAGATTGTTGGGGAAATAAGAAGGGATTGCTAATGGGTTCAGGGTCTTAGTTTGAAAATATATGAAAACTTGAATGTATCAATTGGTTTATATTGGGAGAGCATACAGGCTGGCTGTATTCATACATGTTATATTAAAGGGACTCCAAACTAACTGCCAATGTCTATCTCTGCCCAAGCCCTGCTGGCTGCCCCTCCCCACCCTGCCCAGTGACTGCTGTCACCCTTTGTTCCTGCAAGGACTAGGCATGGGTACAGGGCAGATCCTGATCGAGCCTGTGGGCCCTGGACTCCCAGCACAGGGTGTGGTTATTGCCATCTCCTCTCCAGACTGGCAGTACCATGCATGCTTGGTGGGTGGCAGCAGGGGGTGGGGGAGGGGATAGGCCAGGAGGAGAGGGGAGTGGAGGTAAGTCTCTCACCCACCTGGATCCAGGTACCTGGCATGTCCTGGTTTGAAGGATGCAATCCCCTTGGGGCTACCAGTCACTGTAGCTTGGGACAGCAGGTCCATGGGAAGGGAAGATTGACTCCTCCCACCCCTCAACCCCCAGCTTTCTGCCAGGACACAGCCTCTTGGCGGGCCTGGCATCTGGAGAGAGAGGAAACCTGGCAACTGGTGAGCTGAGTTGCAGGGTGGGATCCCTGGGCACCTGTGAGGCTCTGTAACTGCCCTTCATTCCCATGCCCAAGGGATTGCAACACTAAATAATAGTAATAATAAAACATTATGATGAGGGAGAGAACGTGGAAGAAAGGAAAAAGTTTTAAACATTTAAAATATGAGTGCCTTTACTGGCACTTTTTCCCTGCCCTTTGAATGTGGAGTTCTTGCATTTTCATTTTGCACGAGGCTCAGCAAATTACGTAGTTGGCCCTGCCCAGGAAGAGTATGATCTTGCAAGTCGGGCACAGCAAAACTCCAGGGGTTGTCATAGATCATGGTGTGGATGGGGCGTGCAGTTGCATAGTGAACGATATGAACAGCCATGCACAACAGCCCTGTCTCAGTGACTCTATGTCCTACTGAGGTTAGGTTAACGCAGGTTCTCAAGAGGAACTCTAGCTTAGAAAATTGGGTGTCTGAGAAATTCTTTCACTTAGAAGTCTAGTTTTAGAATGGGCTTAAGGGAAATAAGAATGCTCTTGAGCAAGGCCTAATATGGGAGAGTTTCCTGAAGAATTATGATTTTCTGTCCTCTCATCTCTTTCTCCTATTTCTATAGATGGCACCACCATGCTTGTTTCTCCTTTGTTCCCTAAATACCAATAACAGTAATTGTGTATATGAAATGTGTTAATAACAAATTTAGTGCTTACTATAAGCTAGACACTATGTGTGAAGCAGTGGTTAACAGTAGGAACTGAAGCCAAACAGTCTTGGACCACTATAAACCAATTGTGTGACCTTGAGCAAGTTACTGAACTCAGTTTCTGTATCTATAAAACAGGGATAGTTGGAGTATCATATTAACGGGTTTGTGACGATTAAAGGAGCTGATATATAGAGAGCACTGAGAATATTGGCTGGCACACAATAAGTATTGTGTGTTTTCTATTATTCTCAAAACTCTTGATTCTTTAAATATTTTATTTGACAAACATTTAAGGAGTGTGTATTATGTACCTAGCACGATCCTAGGAGCCCTATGAGGTAGGGAATATTATTCCCATTTTACAGATGGGAAAATTTATGATTAGAGAAATTGTCCCCTTTATCCGTAGTGTACAATTATCAAGGGGCTGAGCTAGGCTTAGATCACTAGTCTGCAAAGTGGATGTTCTTAACCAGTCAGCTTTTTTATTCTCTATAGGAATGAAAACATAGATTGCTTTTACTGAATACTTACTCCACGCCAGCCAGGTACTTTTATACATGATCTCATTTATTCTTTACCACACCTCTGCAAGGTCAGTATTATTATCTCTATTTCCAGCATGGAGATCCCATTTAAAGGAGGAGTTAGAGTGCTTGCCCAGGTCATCACGCTGGAAGCTGGGCAAAGCTGAAATTCAAACCCAAATCCATCCACCTCCAGAATCCCCATTCTTTCTGCTAAATCATGCTGTCTGTTTTATCAGGTTCTTAGGATGATTCTTTAATGCATCTTTGGGGCCTGCCCTCCTTTTCCTTTACCATGCTATCCTGTTGCTCTGAAAACTCATGCCAAGATTTCTCTATGGATTTCTAGTCCCACTCATTTCCAGGAGCTCCACCTCTCTCCAATCCACTTTCCATTACTAGCTTGCTCTCTCTTTCTTACAGATCACTTCCATTCCATGTCTCCATCACTTAAGAATAGGCAATGCCTATGGAACCAAATCTAAATTCCTTGGCTTTGAATATGTGGTTCTCCCTAATATACCCTCAAAATCTGGCTGTACTCTAGAGCTATTAAAAATCTTGTTGCCAAGCCACACTCCAGACCAGTTAATTTAGAATCCTTAGGGGTGGGACCCAGGCATCAGTATTTTTAAGCCTCCCTAAAAGATTCCAATGTGCAGTCAAGGTTGAGAAGCACTGAAATAAACCAATTGACTACAACTTAAACCTCCCTCATAATTACTGGGCTAATCTCTATTGTCTTTCATATATACCTCTCTTCCCACAATGCTAATCCTTCTGTTAAGATTTTGCTCAGGGAGAATGCCTTCTCCTTTCCTCTTACGGTTCAAGTCTCCTAACCTGTCAGACCTTGTCCCATCTCTACCCACTCCAGGAAGACTTCTTTAAACTTGCCAACCTCAGAACAAACTCTGCATCTAAGTATGCATTTACAGTTTAGACAGTTGAGCTGGGCACATGATATTACAATACTTTTGCTTGTTCTCTAACTACTTTACAAGTATTGGTCTACAGTCCTTCCAATTGTGTAAAATATTAGTGCCAAGACCTTTTCCTGTATACTTTGTTATGCCATCTATTTTCCCTTTTTTGACTTCCCAGTACCCTGCATCCTTTAAAACCTAACTTGTGAGTGTGTTCCTCTCTCTGAAATCTTGTCTACTCACCTTTGTCCTGGTGCCTCTAACTTCTTGCCACTAGAAAGGTCATTCCTTCAAAAGACCCATCATTTTCACTCCTCCGTGTTGCTGCCTTTGCCCAGATTTCCCTACCCTTCAATCTAGGAAGATTCTGCTCTATTCATCTTTCAAGGCTTCCTTCTTTCTTACCTCATCTATGATTCTTCTTTTATCAGGCAGAACTGATGGTGTCTCGCTTCATGTTCCTATTGTCCATTATTTGTGCCAATCATTTAGAGCTTATCACAATGTATTAGAGTTGATAGGCCTCTGTTGATTTTAAATTTAAAAAGCACGTGTGCATGTTATAAAATAGTGAATCATTCAAACATAAAAAAAAAAAAAAAAAAACTTCTGGCACTTTGTTTTTCTTATGAGCCTGACAACAAAGTGCTGTTGATGTGAAAGGCAATTTTCACAAATCAGAACATCACTGGGTTGGGGGCTAGCCTTTGAAGGCCCTGGCCCGAGAAACCTGTTATTTTGTGTGCATGTCATGTGCGTAGGTGTGTGCTGGCTTCCTTTCAATAAAAGCTGCATAGAAAGGAACTGGCAGAAAGGGAAGATGTGCAAAATATGTCCCTTTCTTTGAAGTCCACCACTGATCAGAGATAAAAAGACCTTTGCACCGGCAGAGGGGACTTGAAAGCATGATGCCTTAATAAGCAGGCTCACATAGTCACAGTCTCTTATTTTCTTTAAAAACTTCCAGATTCAAAATAACCTTGCAATAGTCAATTTTTAAAAGTTACCAAGAGAAGCTGTGACAAATAAGAATTCCATATGCAAGAGGATTGTATCAATAAGGGACTTCAGATCTTGCCCCTGAGAAATATACTCTTTTTGTAGAAGACTAAGAAGTTAAACATACAGCTGAAAATCAAATTGAAGCATGGTTGCCACTATAAAAGTAGAAGAGCTTTTTGCATCTTGAATTTGCGACTCTCCTATCTCCATACTAGCACAGTATAAGGAGGACAGGTAGAAAGGAGGAAGCATATAGCATGTGACCATAATTCTGTTGAAATTTTTTTTTTTTTTTTTTTTTTAGATAAGGTCTTGCTCTGTTACCCAGGCTGGAGTGCAGTGGTGCGAATATGGTAGCCTCAACCTCCTGGATTCAGGTGATCCTCCCACCTCAGCCTCCCAAGTAGCTGGGACTACAGGTGAGTGCCACCATGCCCGGCTAATTTTTTATTTTTTGTAGAGATGGTGTTTCACCAAGTTGCCCAGGCTGGTGTCAAATTCCTGAGCTCAAGTGATCTGTGTGCCTCAGCCTCTCAAAATGCTGGGATTACAGGCATGAGCCACCACGCCCGGCCTGCTGAGAATCTTCTGATCAGGAATCCAACACTATACAAAAAAGTGTCCTATCAATTCTCCCTTTGAACTAAAGACTCATTTTCCAGCTTCATATTCTAAAGTTGCTTTGGGAGATCGCACATGGAACTCCAAGTTCTCCTCAAGTTCCCACTTCAACATGTAACATTGATGAATTAACATGCAGGTTTTAGTAGACTTTAGATCACATTCCCATCTCAGCATGATGAAGCTTTCCCCAACTTCAGCCAAAGATCACTGAAATTAAAACCTAGGTTTTGTCTAAACAAGCATTCATACTGTGTGATTTGTCATGATTTGTCTATAAATTTGTTCAGCTCTAATCAAATTTTCCTAGGCTAATAAATCTTCAATGATAAAGATGCATGCATATGAATGGAGGCAGAGTTCAGTCAAAGTACTTGGGGAAGAGGAGGAAAGGTAAAGGCAGGGATTCCTGGAGTCCCATTTGGATCCGTTTTGGATAATGAGGGTATTTTAAAAACCAGAGAGAAGAACGTGATTCTCTATAGGAAGGAAGGCACATACAAAGGTTCAAGGGTGGGTAGAAGGAAATCTGTCTCTGTATGACACGCAAAGCTGTTTGCCTATTGTTATGGACTGAATTGGGTCTCCTCTCAAAATTCATACATTGAAGCTCTAATGCTTGGTACCTCAGAATGTGACTGCGTGTGAAGATATTTCCTTTAAATGGGTGATTAAGTTAAAATGAGGCCATGAGCCCTAATTCAATCTGACTGGTGTCCGTATAAAAAGGAATGACCATATAGGGTGAGAAGAGAAACACCCACAAGCCAAGGAGAGAAGTCTCAGAAGAAACCAACCCTGCTGGCATCTTAATCTTGGACTTTCAGCCTCCAGAACTGTGAGAAAATACATTTCTGTTGTTTAAGCCATTTAGTCTGTGGTATTTTGCTAGGGTAACCCTAGTAAACTAACATACCTACAAAACAACCATTCCTTCCTCCTTTTTTCCTACATGGCAGAGCCCGTCCCCCACCACAGAGTCTCCCAATTGCCTTTGAAGCCAGGGCATGGACAACTGCACCCATCCTGGCACAAAAGGATAAGGCTACTGATGGACTCTGAGAAAGGTTTTCCTCTATCATGAATGGAACAATATACAAGGGTCTGTCCTCCCTAGGACTAGGTCCCTATTCTGAAAGGACATAATCCTTGGAGTTATAGTAGCCACTTTGAACCATGAAGGAGACACAAGAAAATTATAGAGAAGCTGCCCCAGCACCATTAATGATATTGAGCCACTGAATCAACTCTATAACTGCTCTCTTGGGTTTCCTGTCATGTGACACAATTGCTCCTATTGTCTAAGCCCAGTTTGGATGAAATTATTACCTGCTGGGTCCAGCAAGGAGAATGACCTGACTAAAGGAGAAGATTAAGTTAGTGAAACCAAGCAGACCTGGGTCTAGGAAATAATCTTTGAACATTCTGTAGAAAGTAATGCAGGAACGTGGGCAAGAGAAAAAAGAGTTAAAGATAAATTTCTAAACTGTGAGTCCATGAGAATGGAATACCTATGAGGAGTATGGTGGCTTTCTCCTTTGGAGAGAATTTATTAGCTTTTTAAGCCCATTGTATTAGTCTGTTCTCATGCTGCTAATGAAGACATACCCAAGCTTGGGTAATTTATAAAGAAAAGACATTTAATTGACTCATGGTTACACATGGCTGGGAAGGCCTCACAATCATGGCAGAACACGAATGAAGAGTAAAGTCATGTCTTACATGGTGGCAGGCAAGAGAGCCTGTGCAAGGGAACTCCCATTTATACAACCATCAGATCTCATGAGACTTATTCACTATCACAAGAACAGCATGTGAAGAAACTACCCCTATGATTCAATTACCTTCCACTGGGTCCCTCCCATGACATGTGGGAATTATAGGAGTTACAGTTCAAGATGAGATTTGGGTGGGGACACAGCCAAACCATATCACCCACTTCTCAAAATGTGTTTAGTGGATTAGCAAGAGTTCAGTCTGTTAGGAGGAGGGATTGTTCTCTAAGATGAGATAGTGAAACTGAGAATGGGGTAGCAATTGAAAAGAGACTTGGATGGGTATCCTACCGGTGGGCCTGTTGGGTGGACATTAATATGTGCTGTTAAAGTAGGTTATCTACTGTTTATATCAGACCTCAAAGCATAGAAACCAGTGCTTGAAATATATTTTAATGGGCTGTTGCTATCTGGTGCTAGTTTATAATAATTCAAGTAAAAATTGTTTTGAGCAGTGAAGCCTTGTGAACTGTGAGTTTATACAAGCTTTGCAGTGATGGTCTGGGATATGATGTTTGAACCTAAATCTACCACTAACCAAAAGACCTTAGACAAGTCATTTCACGTCTTTAACCTCAATGGCTTCAGCAATAGAAGGAAATTTGACTACAACCATAGCCTTTTATTTTTTTCCCCTGCAGTGGAACTCTTTGTTGTTGAGATAAATCATATTCAAACCTCCAATATCTAATAATAAAAATGGTACTACTAATAATTCAAAGTTGTTACATAAATAGAATTTGCCAGGCTTTGTGCCAAGTAATCTAGGTGAATTACCTCATTTAATTGCCATTCTTAATAATACTATAAAATAGGAACTGTTACTGTCATTCCTGCTTTACAGATAAATATACTGAGGCACAAAGAAGTTAAGAAACTTGCCTGAGTCCACACAGCTAGAAGATGACAGATAATCTGACTCCCTTGCCTTGGCTTAATAAAAGTCCTGTTTGGGGTGTGTATGTGTGTGTGTGTGTGTGTGTGTGTGTGTGTGTGTGTGTGTGTGTGTACTGGGGGAGGAGGTGTGTGTGGTTGTTTAGACATCAAACTGCAGAAAATTGGGCCTTCCCTTCAGTAGCCTTTATGGCACCCTCCAGGGACCTGGAAAATCACAGAATTAAAAAAACTGCTAATTCATCTGATCTCCAAAGCAATAATTTATTTACAGAGCAGGAAGAAGAGAGGGTATCTGAATGGGTTTTGTGAAGTGAAGGAAGCTGTGTTACAGGTTGAAAACAAAGCAGCATATTTTCCCATTGTTTTGACTTATTTTAGTTACAGTCTTGGTTTTATTTTAAATTTCAATTAGCATTAATACATTAATAATCATATGAGGATCACACACATGTATATAAAGGAACATACACTATAAAAGTGTTGAGAAGCACTGATTCGGTGGCTCTTTAGATCTATGGATTTTAGTTTCCCTGGTTCTGCCATCTGATTATTTTCTACTCATTTTCACCATTCCTTGTCCAACTTCCTAACCTTGTGAAAGTTAACACTGATTATACCCCCTACTTTAGATCATCCAATAAAAGATGAACACCCATGTGACACATCAACCACCGGCTTCCATAAGGATACTAATCATTACAAGAGCTAACATCCATTGCTCCTTACTATGTGCCAGAAACTACATATAAGCCGATTCAATTCTTGCAGAATCCCAAGCATCTACTGCAGGCTAGGTAGCATTTCTTCAAGGGATCTTTCCTAAACTCCTGGCTTGGGGAAAGTGGTCTCTGGGTTTCCATTACACAAGGAACTTATTTCTAACATAGCATGTATCTAGTAATATCAATTCATTTGACTCATATCTGTCTCCCTGAGTAGAATTATAAACTCCTGGAGGACAAGAACTTTGCATTACACATCTCTGTCTCTCTAACACTAAGCACAGGGGTTGGCATATAATAGGCACTTAATAGATGCTGGGTCAACACTGGAAGACACTTTCAATTAGCTACCCCAATTGCTTCCCAAACCTTCCCACCTTGGTTAACTCCAATCTAGAGACTGGGAAAACTAGACATTTTTCCAGTTCGCTGGAAAGACTCTTGGAAGTAAACTATTCTTCTGACTATGTTATAAAGTTGTTTGACAAGAAAGTTCTGTGAGAATCTGAGGCTTAGAGCCACTGCAGCCATTTTGTAACAATGAAAGAAAGACCAAGAGAATCACAGGAACCCAGAACAAGATCCTTGATGTCTTTGAGCCACTGAATCCTTCCTAGAATCACCTCCCGGCAAGACTACCTGCTGTGTAAGACAAAGAAATTCTATTTGTTAAAACCACTGTGAGATTTCCTGTTACTGGTTGTTTAAGACATTCCTTCTTATACATAAGCATTTGGAAATCAATAAAACCTGGTCCCTAACCTTAACAAAAGACCTCAGAGATGTAGAGTTTCCAGATTAAATATAGGACTTGTCAAAAACAAGTCATTTTTTAGGACGACGATGTCCATTCAATATTTGGGACATGTATGTTTAAACAAATACTTGTGGTATATCTGAAATATAAATTTAATTGTATATCCTTTATTTGTATTTACAAAAGTTGGCAACTCTTCCTGGATGGTAAAAAGACACCTTCAAAGAGAAGCAGAAAAGAGGCTTCAACTGGAGCATATGATTTTAGCAAACAAAACTGCTCCCCAGATGAGATAACAACAATAAGAACTTAAATTGTATAGGACTTAATGGTTTTCAGAGAACTTTCATTGGTATTACTTATTCACTAAACAGTTGCTGGGCTTATGCTAAATAAAAAACACTTAATCCTAACAAGTTATTTGCTCAAGGTGGCACAGATGCTAAGTATAGGAGTTGAGACCTGAATTTTTCTCTTCTAGTTTCTGGCTTAGTGCTGGTTCTTGATAGCAGAGGTTCTTAAACTTTAATATGCATCAGAATCACCCACAGGGCGTGTTAAAAACACAGACTATTGTACCTTCAACCAGTAGTAGTGTGAGACAGGGCCCAAGAATATGCCTTTCTTACAAGTTCACAGGCGATACTGATGCTGCTAGTGTTGGAACCACACTTTTTGGAAACCACTGCTTTATACTATACCAAGGCATCTCTTTTCTAGCAGGATGGAATCTAGAAACACCTACCTTCTTTGGAAGAAGAAAAAAATCTATGTGGTATATCAATGCCAAAGGTCTTTTGACAACATATTCATTGTAAAGACAAATAGCTAAACCCTTTCTTTTCTTTGAGTTGTATCATTTGGAGGTTGGAAGTTAAATGTACATATGAGGAAGCACTTTAAAATGAATG